>NC_000023.11:82159511-82462542 GCF_000001405.40 Homo sapiens
GGATACAGAAAGTAGAATGCTCATTGTTTGGGCTACAGAGAAATAGGTATAGAGAGTTATTGCTTAATGGGTACAGAATTTCAGTTCTAAAAAATGGAGAATGTTAAAAAGATAGCAGTAATGGTTGTACAACAATGTACACTTAAAAATGGTTAAGATGGTAAATTTTATGTTACGTGTATTTTACCAGAATTAAAACTAATAAAAATGCATGTAGGTGAGTAAAGAATGTATAAAATGTAACAACTACAGAGTTAAATTTTTTAAAACTTATATATTAAAACATTAAACACTCTCTTACTGTCTGTGATATGTGTATAGAGAAACTTTTAAACTGACAAAACTAATATTTATTTAGAACTTTGTAATAAAATATTAAATAATTTATATGTTTAATACCATAAGTTTAAACAGTCATAATACAAAGCAAGCATCTTTTTTACATACAATTGAAGCATACAATTTGGCAAGCATCTTGCTGAATGGTAACACTTCTTTCTAAGTTTGGATCAGTTTCCTGAATTTTATTCGTATATTTTTAATGCTGTTAAAAGTTTCTGGCCGGGCGCGGTGGCTCACGCCTGTAATCCCAGCACTTTGGGAGGCCGAGGCGGGTGGATCATGAGGTCAGGAGATCGAGACCATCCTGGCTAACAAGGTGAAACCCCGTCTCTACTAAAAATACAAAAAATTAGCCGGGCGCGGTGGCGGGCGCCTGTAGTCCCAGCTACTCGGGAGGCTGAGGCAGGAGAATGGCGTGAACCCGGGAAGCGGAGCTTGCAGTGAGCCGAGATTGCGCCACTGCAGTCCGCAGTCCGGCCTGGGCGACAGAGCGAGACTCCGTCTCAAAAAAAAAAAAAAAAAAAAAAAAAAAAAGTTTCTAAGTATTATTTTAATGTGGAACTTTTTTCTAATTTCACTTCCTCTGGGGAATCTTTTTTCAGCACAATCACTTCCTGCAATTATGTCAATAATTTAACCTTCATTAAGTTCCTCTGACTGCATATCTATAGTATTAACTTTCAAACCATCAGCTATTTCTTCTATAAATGTATTTATATTCTACTCAAATTTTTACTTTCAACATTATCACTTTTCTGTACTTCCATTTTTGTTGCTTAAATTCCTCTTCATCCATTTTTGCACAATGTCAATGGATTAGTCACTTTGAGACAAAGAGGCAACCTATCTGCACACTTTCTGTGTATATGTGTACAATCTGAAAAACAGACATGAAGCGAGCAATTACAAAGAGAGCTTGAAAATGTGTTGTGATTGGCCACTAATGATGATGTGCATCTGTTGCTCACATAGTGATCTGGAAACTAAAGAACTAGCAGTGATGTTTGTACTTTATGCAATTATTCTTAGTAAAAATACAATAATGAATCATGTTAGTGAGATTATTTAACTAAATTATGGTAACTTAAATTTATGTATATCAGAAACATGGAAAGTGAGAATTAACTGTTGATATGGCTTGAATTTGTGGCTCCCCCCAAATTTCATGTTAACTTCTAATCTTTAATATTGGACCTCCCCTGGTGGGAGATGATTGGATCATGGGGGCAGACTTCCCCCCTGCTGTTCCCATAATAGTGAGTTCTCACAAGATCTGTTTGTTCACAAGTATGTAGCACCTCTCCCTTCTCTCTTTTTCTTCTGCTGGGGCCATGTAAGACATTTCTCCTCCCTCTTCACCTTCCACCATGATTGTAAGTTTCCTGAGGCTTCCCCAGCCATGCTCCTGCACAGCCTATGAAACTGTAAGCCTATTAAAGTCTTTTCTTTATAAAGTATGCAGTCTCAGGTAGTTCTTTATAGAAATGTGAGAACGGGCTAATATAGAAATGTGAGAATGGACTAATTGGTACCAGGAGTGGGGCATTGCTATAAAGATAATTGAAAATGTGGAAGTGGCTTTGGAACTGGGTGACAGGCAGAGGTTGAAAAAATATGGAGGGCTCAGAAGAAGACAGAAAGATAAGGGAAAGTTTGGAACTTCCTAGAGACTTGTTAAATTTTTTTGTGACCAAAATACTAACAGTGGTATGGACAATGAAGTCCAGGCTTAGGCGCTCTCAGATAGAGATAAGGAACTTATTGGGAACTAGAGAAAAGGTCAGTTTTGTTACACTTAGCAAAGAGATTGGAGGCATTATGACCCTGCTCTAGAGATTTGTGGAATCTTGAACTTGAGAAAGATGATTCAGGGTATCTGGCAGTAGAAATTTCTAAGCAGCAAAACATTCAGAATATGGTATGGCTGCTTCTAACAGTATGAGCTTATATATGTGAGCAAAGAGATATTCTGAAACTGGTAATTATATTTAAAAGGGAAGCAGATATTGTGAAAGTTGAGAAAATTTGCAGCCCAGTCATATGGGGAAAAAAAAAGTCCATTTTCAAGGAAGAATTCAAGCAAGTTGCAGAAATTTGCAAAAGTAAAGTGGAGCCAAATGTTAATAGCCAAGACAGTGGAGAAAATGCCTCAAAGGCACTTCAGAAACCATTATGGCAGTACTCGCCTCACATGCCTGGAGGCCTAGGAGAAAATAATGATTTCATGGGCAGGACCCAAGGCCCTGCTGCCCTGTGCAACCTCGGGACACTGCTCCCTGCATCCCAGCTGCTCCAGCTTCAGCTGTGGCTAAAAGGGGGCAAGGTACAGCTTGGGCCATTGCTTCAGAGGGTGCAAACTGTAAGCCTTGGTGGCTTCCACCTGATGTTAAGCCTGTGGGTGCACAAAGGGCAAGAGTTGAGGCTTGGCAGCTTCCACCTATATTTCAGAGTATGTATAGAAATGCCTGGATGTCCAGGAAAAAGTCTGCTGCAGAGTCAGAGCCCTCATGGATAACCTCTACTAGAGCAGTGTGGAGAACAAATGTGGGGTTGGAGCCCCCACACATATTCCCCACTGGGTCACTGCCTAGGGGGGCTGTGAGAAGAGGACCACTCTCCTCCAGACCCCAGACTGGCAGGTACATTGACAGCTTGAACTGTGCACCTGGAAAAACTTCAGGCACTCAATGTCAGCCCATAAAAGCAGCTGAGGCGGCTGTACCTTGCAGAGACACATATGTGGAGATGCCCAAGGCCTTGAGAACTCACCCCTTGTATTAGGGGGCCTGAGTGTGAAAGATGGAGTCAATGGAGATTATTTTGAAGTTTTAAGATTTAATGACTGCACTGTTTAGTTTCAGACTTGCATGAGGCCTGTAGCCCCCTTGTTTTGGCATATATTTTCCTTTTGGAGCAGCACTATTTAGCCAATGCCTGTATCCCCATTGTCTCTTGGAATTAACTACCTTGATTTTGATTTTATAGGTTCATAGGCAGAAGGGACTTGCCTTGTCTCTGATGAGACTTTGGATTGTGGACTTTTGAGTTAATGCTTAAATAATTTAACACTGTGGAGGATTGCTGGGAAGCCATGACTGTGTTTTGCAATTTGAGAAGGACATGAGATTTGAGAGGAGCCTGGGCAGAATTATATGGTTTGGATTTGTGTCACTGCCCAAATCTCTTGCCAAATTGTAATCCCCAATATTGGAAGAGGTGCTTGGTGGGAGGTCATTAGATCATGGTGGCAGAGTTTCCTCTTGTTGTTCTCATAATAGGGAGTGAGTTCTCATGAGATCTGCTCATATAAAAGTGTGTAGCACCTCCTCCTATTCTCTTTTCCTCCTGTTCCAGCCATGTAAGACGTGCCTCCTTCCTCTTTGCCTTTCAACATGATTGTAAGTTTCCTGAGGCCTACCCAGCCATGCTTGCTGTACAGCCTGCAGAATTGTGATCCAATCAAACCTCTTTTCTGTATACATTACCCAGTCTCAGGTAGTTCTTTATAGCAATGTGATAATGGACTAATACTAATAATTGCTGTATTTGGAAACAATTTACTTAGGTTATGGTAGAAGCCTGAGATCTGATAGGTTGTGGAAGCCATGAGAGTGTACAAGATTTCTTAAGAGGATGGAGTTGTTAACATATAGTTCACAGAGTTTTCTGCTGGAATCTCAAATAAATACCGGAGACTGTAGAATTGAGACACTCTAATGAATGAATCACAAATACTAAGATAAGATGTAGTCTACCAAACTGAGGGAGGACCTAAACCCCCATAAAAGAATAAACATCTCCTGTAGAATTTTGCCATGCACATTGTCTTTAAGAAAGAGGAATACAAAGAAAGTTGGCACTCACCTGAAAATCTAAAAAGCAAGAAAATATATAGTAGCAGATTATTTAAATGAAGCCACACTCTGCCTCAGATAAATAGATTTCTGGGTAGACTATAATTAGTTCCAGATGAAAGGCCTCATGCAATTTATGTTCCAGTGCAGCAAATTTTGCTGAGCTCCTTTTCTGACTCACTTGGTAAAACTTTCCTTGCCTGGGGCCTTAGCTGCTTCTTATTTTGAAATGCTTGTTTCTACTATGACTATATCAGTAATATCCAAGCTATGACTTTTGTTGGTAACCATGTTCTTGGTAAACATATCATTAGTAATCTCTATCTGCCATATACCCTTGTATTTACACACCCACCCACCCACCCACACACACACATACACACACACTTTTCATTCAGTAATCTATTCAATCAATACTTCTAGAGACAATATTATGTGTCAAAAACTGGTACTGGCTGCCAGGGAAAAATTTTGAAAAAACGCAGACTTAGTCACTCAGTCACTGCCAATATGCAGTTTACAATCTAGTGGCAGATGTAGGCATCAACAACATAACAGAAATTATGCATAATTAAAACTAACATTTGATCATTGCACATTGCATATATGTATCAAAATTTAACTCTGTATTCTATAAGTATGTACAATTATTACATGCCAACTAAAAATAAAAGAAAAAAGCCATTTTAATTGATAAATACAGCTTGAGTAAAGCATCCCTTTGCCCTTTGCACAGAAAGACATGGGGAAAGCATCTGGCATAAAGACTTGGGATAGCTGCCTTAGAATTGTTCTAAAAAATCAACCCAAATTTTATTTGGCAATTTCTGTATGCTAGACACTGTACTGCCTGCTTTAACATATTATTATTTTATTTATTACTTACAACTGTCCCAAGAGTTATTATTTTCTTTATTTCACAAATAAGAAAATAGAGCTTCAGTTCAGAATTCTTGTATTCTTGTCTGGTGATACAAAAGTTTTAAAATTCAAATTCAAGCTAGTCACAAAATACACATATTATGTAATTCCATTTATGTAAAATATCCAGAATAGAGATTAAATTGAAGAAGCTAAACGGCTGCCAAGCCATGTGTGTTGGAGGGAGAAGTAGAGGGGTAGAGGTAGCTGGAGAATAAAAGGTATCTGCTGAAATATATATATATATGTATGTATGGTTTTTTAGGGGAGATATATCTGTGAATATCCTGAAATTTGGTGAATTGTACACTATTAAGAAGTTCAGTTTTATGGTGTGTGGATTATATCTTAATAAAACTAAGAGAAAAAACTGACAAAAATAATTTCAAACAAACACAGAGAAATGACACTATAAAAGTATAAAACAAAGAAAACTGATTTAAGCTGTGGAGGCAGAGAAACCATCCTAAGGAAGTAATGCTTAAGTGTAGAATGCGCAGGGGTTAATTAAGTCAACAGTATGTATTAGGGGCTTACAATATATAAGTGTTTACAATATATAGAAGCAAAATGAGGGAGGAGCCCCAAGATGGCCGACTAGATGTAGCCAGGAGGAATATCCGGCACTGAAGGACAGGGACATTGGGAAGACAGGTGCACTCCCAGCAGATATTCAAAGGGAAAGCATTGAGAGTAAACAGAAGGAAGACACAGATGCTAGGCTGAAGTGGGAGGAATCTGGGAACTCTGCACAGGGCTACCATACACCAGGATGCGTTCCTGGCCTCCAACGACTTCTGCGGAGGGGGTGAGTTGAAAAGGCAAGGATCAACTCGCTTTTATCACAGGTCCCTGGAATCCTGCCAGGAGGAGACCCATGGAACTCCATGGACACAAGTTGTCAAAGAAACCTGCTTAGAGAAGTGACAGGGGCAAAACTTCAGTTGGGGTAGAGCCCAGTTGTTTGGCGTGAGAGCATCTGTAGTGGAACACAGCCTAAGACACCCATTCCTCTAGCCTACATTTGCTCCCAGAGGAGGCTTTAGCTCTATGGGAACTGCCAGACCTGAACCCTGCAGGGATGTTTTGCCCATGAGAGGGGCTGGTCCAACCTGAGCACCCTTTGGTAGGCTGGCCTCTCTCAGGGCCCCAGCCTCGCCATGTCTGCTTACAGTGCAGCCCCTAGGTACCTTCTGCGAGCCAGCATCATAGCTCCTGTGCTGGTGGATGGCACCAGATCAACAGAGTGCTCCAGCAGAGAAGAACCCATGGACATGAAACAGCCAACCTGTGACCTTCCCTCACTGCAGCTTCCCTTGTGCCAATTTGCTTACAGGCACTAGCCCACAGCCACTCCCCACATCACTTTGCCAGTGCTTGTGAACTCAGGCAGCCCTTACTTTCCTTTCCCTGCCAGCACATGTGTGCACATGCACTCTGCTATGCTACTGCTGCCAAATGAGCCTACCTCACATCTGCTTACCCTGCTGCACCACCATTTTCATCAGAGCATTAGCAGGCATAGTGGTCACCAGCTCTGCCTCTGCCAGCACCATGCCCCTGAGCTACCATGCCACTGCTACCAGATGAGTCCACCTCACATCCACTTGCCCTGCTCCATCACCATTGTCATCAGAGCATTAGCAGGCATGGAACTCACCAGCTCTGCCTCTGCCAGAAGCATGTCCCTGAGCTGATACAGTTGCCAGTGCGAAACTAGGCACAGAAAACAGTAAACACACCCTCAACCCTGAGCAGCCACCATCACCAGCCTGAATGTACACAGCATGAAGGATGCAAACAGTCCTGCGCTCCTCAGCACCCTGCCCTCATGCTAAAACAACCACCAGCATGAATGCTTACACAGTTGTCCGAGGGGGACCCTTACCCCTCTAGCCATGCTATCACTGCCATCACAGCCTTAGTTGCAAATACCCCAAGATCATCATATAAGGTAAAGAACAACAAAAAAAATCCAAAGAAGTCAACTTCAAAGTTTGAAGGAACATCAGCCCACAAGATGAGAAAGAACCTGTACAAGAACTCTAACAACTCAAAAAGCCAGAGTGTCTTCTTTCCTCCAAACCATCACACTAGTTCTCCAGCAGAAGTTCTTAGATGAGCTGAGATGGCTGAAATGACAGAAGTGAGGTTCTGGACATGGATAGGAATGAAGATCATCGAGATTTGGAAGAATGTAGAAACCCAATCTAAAGAAGCTGAGGATCACAATAAAATGATACAGGAGCTGATGGACAAAATAGCCAGTATAGAAAAGAATGTAACCAGACGGATAGAGCTAAAAAACACTCTACAAGAATTTCACAATGCAATCACAAGAATGAACAGAAGAGGCTGGGCGCAGTGGATCACGAGGTCAAGAGATCGATACCATCCTGGCCAACCAACATGGTAAAACCCTGTCTCTACTAAAAACACAAAAATTAACTGGGCCTAGAAGTGCATGCCTGTAGTCCCAGCTACTCAGGAGGCTGAGGCAGGAGAATCACTTGAACTTGGGAGGCAGAGGTTGCAGTGAGCCGAGATCATGCCACTGTCCTACAGCCTGGGCGACAGAGCGAGACTCCGTTAAAAAAAAAAAAAAAAAAAAAAAAGAATGAACAGAAGAATAGACCAAGGAAAAGAAAAAATCTCAGCACTTGGAGATTGGGTTTCTGAAAAGAGTGAAAATAAAAGAAGAAAAAGAAATGCACTAGGCTTTGGAGAAATGTGGAATTATGTATAAGATTCTACAACTCACTGGTGTATCTGTAAAAGATGGGGAGAATGGAAGCAAATTGGAAAACATATTTCAGAATAACATTCAAGAGAACTTCCCCAATCTAGCTTAGAAAGCCCACATTCAAACTCAGGAAATGCAGGGAACTACCACAAAATACTTCACAAAAATTATTCCACAGACACATAATTATCAGATTCTCCAAGGTCAAATGAAAGAAAAAACTATTAAAGGCAGCTAGAGAGAAAGGACAGGTCACATTCAAAGGGAAGCCCATTAGACTAATAGTGCACTTCTCAGCAGAAACCCTAAAAGTGAGAGGAGATTGAGGGTCTATATTCAAAATTCTTGAAGAAAATAAAGTTTAATTCTATATGTGGAATAGCTAAGCTTTATAAGCAAAGGGGAAATAATTTACCTTTCAAACAAGCAAATTCTGAGGAAATTTGTGATCACATTTGCCTTCAAGAGCTCCTGTAAGAAGCATTTAATCTGGAAAGAAAAAAATCCATTACCAGCCACTACAAAAAATCATATAAGTACACAGACCAGCGACACTATAAAGCAACCACACACAAATGTCAGTATATTAAACAGCTAATAAAACAATAACAGGATCAAATCCTCACACATCAATGCTAACCTTCAATGTAAACAGGCTATGTGCCACAATTAAAAGGCACAGAGTGGCAAACTGGACAAAGAAGCAAGACTTAATGGAATGCTGTCCTCAAGAGGCCTATTTCACATTTGGTGACACCCATAAGCTCTGTATTAGTCAGTTTTCACACTTCTGATAAAGAAGTACCTGAGACTGGAAAGGAAAAGAGGTTTAATGGACTTACAGTTCCAGATGGCTGGGAAGACCTCACAATCATAGCAGAAGGTGAAAGGCATGTCTCACATGGCAGCAGAGAAGAGAGAGAACTTGTGCAGGGAAACTCCCATTTTTAAAACTATCAGATGTTGTAAGACTTATTCACTATCATGAGGAGAACAGCACAAGAGACACCTGCCTCATGATTTAATTACCTCGCACCCAGTGCCTTCCACAACGCATGGGGATTAAAGATAAGATTTGGGTGGGGACACAGCCAAACCATATCAAGCTCAAAATAAAGGGATGGAGAAAAATCTAGCAATCTACCAAGCACATGGAAAACGGAAAATAGTGGGAGTTGCAGACTTAATTTCAGATAAAACAGATATTAAGCCAACAATTTTTTTTAAAAGAAGGGTATTACATAATGGTAAAGGGTTCCATTCAACAAGAAGTTATACCTATCTTAAATATATATGCACACAAGACAGGAGCATCTGGATTCATGAAACAAATTTTCACAGACATTCAAAGGACTGCTCCAAGACCGGGAACAGTGACTGACATCTGTAATCTCAGCACTTTGAGGGGCTGAGGCAGGTGAATCACTTTTGGTCAGGAGTTCAAGACCAGCCTGGCCAACATGGTGAAACCTCATCTCTACTAAATTACAAAAAGTAGCTGGGTGTGCTGGTGGGCACATGTAATCCCAGCTACTTGGGAGGCTGAAGCAGGAGAATCCCTTGAACCCAGGAGGCAGAGGTTGCAGTGAGCTGAGATTGTGCCACTGCACTCCAGCCTGGGCAACAGAACACAACTCCATCTCAAAAAAAAAAAAAAAAAAGAGGTCGGGTACAATGGCCCACCCCTGTAATCCCAGCACTTTGGGAGGCCAAGCAGGGTGGATCATTTAAGGTCAGGAGTTCGACACCAGCCTGGCCAACAGAGTGAAACTCTGTCTCTACTAAAAATACAAAAATTAGTAGTGACACACGCCTGTAATCCCAGCTTCTTGGGAGGTTGAGGCAGGAGAATTGCTTGAACCTGGTTGGTGGAGGTTGCGATGAGCCGAGAAGACACCACTGCACTCCAGTCTGGGCAAGAGAGTGAGACACTGTCTCAAAAACAAAAAACCAACAAACAAAAAAAACAAAAAGAGAGAGAGACTTAACACTCCAACACAATAACAGTGGGAGACTTCAACACTCCACTAACAGTACTGACCATGTTAGACAGATTATAGAGCCAGAATATTAACAAACATATTCAGCACCTTAATTCATCACTGGAATTAATGGATTGATAGACAGAATTCTCCTCTCCAAAACAACAGAATATACCGTCTTCTCATCTGCACATGATGCATACTCTAAAATTAAACATACAATTAGACATAACACATTTCTCAGCAAATGCAAAAGAACGAAAATTATACCAACAACTCTCTTGTACCACAGTGTAATAAAAATGTAATTTAAGACTAAGAAAATGCTCCGGAAATCTCAACTAAATACTAGCAAATAGAATCCAGTAACATATCAAAAAGCTAATCCACCATAATGACATAGGCTTTGTCCCTGGCTGCAATGTTGGTTCAATATATGCAAATCAATAAATGTGATTCATCACATAAAAAGAACTAAAGGAAAAAGCCACATGATCATCTCAATAGATGCAGAAAGGCTTTCAACAAAATAAAAGATTCCTTCATTTTTAAAACTCTTAACAAATAGATATTGGAGGAACATACATCAAAATAAGAGCCATTTATGACATACCCACAGCCAACATCATACCGAATGCATAAAAGCTGAAAGCATTCTTTTTGAAAACCGGCACAAGACAAGGATACTCTCTCTAGCCACTCCTATTCAACATAATATTAGAAGTCCTGGCCAGAACAATCAGGCAAAAGGAAAAGATAAAATACATTCAAATAGAAAGAGAAGAAGTAAAAATGTCCCTGTTTTCAAATGACTTGATTCTATATCTAGAAAACCTTATAGTCGTGGCCCAAAAGCTCCTGAAGCTAATGAACAACTTCAGCAAAATTTCAAAATATAAAATTAATATAGAAAAATTACTAGCATTTCTGTAAGTTAACAATAGCTAAGTGGAGAGCCAAATCAGAAACAACATCCCATTCACAATTGCCAGTAAAAGAATGAAATACTTAACGAATACAGCTAATCAGGGAAGTGAAAGATCTTTACAAGGAGAACTACAAAACATTGTTCAAGGAAATCAGAGATGACCCAAACAAATAGAAACACATCCCATGCTCATGGATGGGTAGAATCAACATTGTAAAAATGACCATACTTCATAAAGCAATTTATAAATTCAATCCTAATCTTATCAAACTACAAATTACATTTTTTAAAGAACCAGAAAAACTTATTTTAAAATTTATATGGAACTAAAAAGGAGCCTGAATAGCCAAGACAATCCTATGCAAAAAGAGAAGAGCAGATGGCATCATGCTTCTCAACTTTGAACTATACTACAGGGCTATAGTAACCAAAACAGCTTGACGCTGGTACACAAACAGACTCATAGATGAATGGAACAGAATACACAACCCAGAGATAAGGCTTCACACCTACAACCATCTGATCTTCACCAAAGCTGCAAAAAGAAGCAATGGGAAAAGGACTCCTTATTCAATAAATGGTGCTGGGATAACTGGCTAGCCATATGCAGAAGATTGAAACAGGACGCCTTATTTACCCCATGTACAAAAATCAACTCAAGATGGATTATAGGCTTACATGTAAAACCGAAAATTATGAAAACCCTGGAAGACAACCTTGGCAATACCATTCTGCACATTTAAACTGGAAAAAAAATTCATGATGAAGATGTCAGAAGCAATTGGAACAAAAGCTAAAATAAACAAATGGGATCTAATTAAACTAAAGAGCTTCTACAGAGCAAAAGAAACTATCAACAAAGAAAACAGACAACCTGCAGAAAGGGAGAAAATATTTGCAAACTATGCATCTGACAAAGTTCTATTACCCAACATCTATAAGGAACTTAAATTTACAAGAAAAATCAATCAACCCCATTAAAAAATGGGAACAGTACCTGAATAGACACTTTTTAAAAGAAGTCATACATGCCGCCAACAACATGTAAAAAAGCTCAACATTACTGATTATTAGAGAAGTGAAAATCAGAACCAAAATTAGATACCATCTCACACCTGTCAAAATGGCTATTATTAAGAAGTCAAAAAATTACAGATGCTGGCAAGGTTGCGGAGAAAGGGGAACACTTATGCACTGTTGATGGAAATGTAAATTAGTTTGAGCATTGTGGAAAGCAATGTAGCAATTCCATGAACTCCTACAAGCATCTTCCATTCAACCCAGAAATCCATTACTGGATAAATATCCAAAGGAATATAAATCCATTCTATTATAAAGACACAAGTGCATGTACATTCAGTGCAGTACTACTCAAAATAGCAAAGACATAAAATCAACCTAAATGCCCATCAGTGGAAGACTGGATAAAGAAAATGTGATACATATACAACATGGAATACTATGCAGCCATAAAAAATGAGATCATATCTTTTGCAGGAACATGGATGGTGCTGGAGGCCATTACTCTTAGAAAACTAACACAGGAACAGAAAACTAAATACCACATATTCTCACTTATACATGGAAACTAAATAAGGAGAACACATGAATACAAAGAAGGAAACCACAGACACTGGAGCTGACCAGAAGGTAGATGGTAGGAGGACAGCAGCAGAAAACATAACTACTGGGTACTAGTCTTAGTACCCAATAGTCACCTGGGTGATGAAATAATCTGTGCATCAAAGTCCCATGACATGAGGTTTTCCTATATAACAAACCTACACATGTATACCTTAACCTAAAATAACATTTTCTTTTAAAAGGCTGAAAGAGAAAAAGAAAGATTAACCAAGAATTCTACATCCAGCAAAACTGTTCATCAGAAATGTAGGCAAAGTGAAGATATTCTCAGCTAAACAAAGGTTGAAAGTATTTGGTCTTCACAGGCCTATATATGCATAGTAAATATATTATTGTTTATTATATTATATATATTGTATTTTGGAATTAAAGCTTTATAGCAATACTATGGAAAAATTGGACAATTGAGAAATAAATTCCTAACCTCATACTATTGTTAGAGCAGCTCTGAAAGGTTCTATGCGTTGTTTTCCAGTCTTTGTTCATTTGCATATACATTTCACCTGGAGTAATAATAGCGTAAAGATACTTGTTACAATTTGTTTTATAGTATATTATCTCTTTTAGTAGTTGTAATAATATTTCACAGAGTCTATAAGTAATCACTTAGTCATTCATTTCCCCAATTATGGACACTTTCAAGGTTTTCAAAATTTTGCTATTGTGAATATCTTCCTACATACAACATTTTTCTCGTTAATTGTTTCCTAGGCTAAATCTCCAAAAATGCAATATGGATATTATTATATTTTTAAAGAATTAATATAAAAGTAAATGTTCTTTTTAAAAAAAAAAATAGCAGCAGGATTTACAATGTCTCTGTACTGGCAAGAAACTCGGTATTCTGAGAAGAAAATGTGATAATATGTTGTGAAATAAAGTTAGAAAGGTTGGAAGTGACAAACTATTCAGGAGCATGGCCACATTAAGGAGTTAGATATTTAAGGTCCATAAGGAGCCCTTGAAGTCACTAACCAGGAGATGTAGTGACATAAACACATTTATGTTATAAAAGTATCACTGTGTCTGAAATGTGGAGAATAGATAACAAAGAAGAAGGAATAGATATGGGGAGATTAGCTGTGATATTACTGCAGAAGCCTAGGCAAAAATGAACTCTTGGACTAGAGTGTTGATGGTGATGTTGGAGTAAAATGAATTTATTTGAGATATACTTTACAGGTAACATCTAAAGAACTTAGTAATGTATTTACCTTGGGGATAATAAAAGGAAGGGAGCAATCAATGATGTCTCCTATATTTATCAATTACATAACTGGATTGGCAGGGATAACATACAAATAAATTGAGAATACTGTAAAATAAATGGCCTTGGGAAGAAAGATCATAAATTGGTATTGGATATGCTGATTTTGAGATATCCAGGTGTAGAATTTGAGTAAGCATTTTGAAATATATGTCTAAATCTCAGAGAAGGAGGCTGGACCAGAGATATTCTCCTGGTCAATTCCTAGGCCAAAAGTACAAATAAAGGTCACCGTACTATAAGTTTACATATTTAAAATTAGTAAATCATGCTAATAAAATGTAAATATGGGTATTTTTTTAAGAATATCATATGTATTTATGATATTTAAGATCCCCGAAAGTGAAGATCCTGTCTTGTTAAGATCTTATTGCACTGTAGATGTTAATTTAAACATTTACTATTGATGAGGTGGCCTAGAAGAAGACCTAGTTCTGAGCCTTAGGAATTCTAACATTTAACGTCCAGTAGAGAAATGTGAGCTGGTAAAGGACACCAAAATAAAATAGCCAGGAAGTTGGGAGAAAGTATAAGACAACATGGTGTAACAGATGTCCGTGTAAAACAGTGTTTCAAGAAAGAGGAACAGTAAATTGTATAAAGTGATGTTGAGAAGGGAGGGAAGACATGGACTACAAAGTAAACAGTGAATTAACGAAGACAGGGACAGTTGAATTGGTAGCATAATAGTGTTAAATGCCATGTTAGTTAAAAATTAAGTAGAATATGCAGAAATTGAGAATGAACATGTAGACAATTCTTTCAAAATTTTGTGAAGAGGAGAAATTTAGGATAATAGCTATAAAAGAATGTGTGTATGGGGGAAGGTATTCATACACACATATTTTAATTAAGCTTTTAATTTTGAGATAATTGTAAACTCACATGCAGTTGTAAGAGATAATACAAAGAGAATCCATGTATTCTTTACCCAGTTTTCACCCACCAAAGTTACAATATTGCAAAACTACAGTAAAGCAATACAATCAAGATATTGACATTGATACAGTAGACCCCCTTATCCTTAATTTTGTTTCGTACAGCTTCAGTTACCTATGGTCAACTGTGGTTCAAAAATAGGTGAGTAAAGTACAGTAAGATATTTTAATAGAGAGAGGTAGATTATATTCACATTACTTATTGTTTACTGTTAATTCTATTTCATTATTAGTTGTTGTCAATCTCTTATGTGCCTAATTTATAAATTAAACATTATAAGTTTGTATGTATAGAAAAAAACATAGTATATGTAGGGTTCAGTGCTATTTGCAGTTTTAGGCATTCATTGATGATCTTGAAAGGTATCTCCCATGGATAAATGGGGACTACTGTAGTGTCAAAACACAAACACATTCTATAACCACGAATATTCCTCATGCTACCCTTTTATAGCCACAACCATCTCGTTTTTCTTCCAGTCCTACATTGACTTGTGCGAACTGCTAATCAGTTTTCCATTTTTATAATTATGTCAATTTAGAATGATACAGGAATGGATTCATACAGTATGTAACTTCTTAGAATTGAGATTTTCACTAAGCATAATTCTTTGAAGATTCATCTTAGTTGTTGTGTGTATCAAGACTCTGTTTCTTTTGATTGCTGAGTATCCCATTTTATGGAAGTACCACATTTTATTTAACCACTCACCTATTGAAGAATATCTGGGCTGCTTCCATTAATTGACTTTTACGAGTAAAGATAATATGTATATTTGTGTAAAAATTTTGTGTGAAAATACATTGATTTCTCTAGGAAAAAATACTGAAGAGGACAATGCTGGGTTTATGACAATTTTATGTTTAGTTTTATAAGAAACTGACAAAATGTTTTCCAGTATACCTCTTTACATTCCTATAGCAATATATAAAGGTGCAATTTCTCCACATTTTTACCAGCTTTTGGTATTGACACGTTCTTTTCATGTATGTTTTAAATTGTATATATTTAAGGTGTACAACATGATGTTTTGTCACACATATGCAGAGTTAAATGATTACTATAGTCAAGCTAATTAAAGTATCCATCATATCACATAGTTAACTTTTTTGTGGTAAGAGTACCTAAAATCTACTCTCATAGCAATTTCCAGTATACATTACAATAGTATGAGCTCTAGTAATCAGGCTTTACATTACATCTCTGGTCTTATTCTTTCTGCATAAATGCAACTTTGTACACTTTGACCAAAATTTTCCTATTTTCTCTCTCCCACCACAGTTCCACTCTCTGGCTTATATGTATTGCATTCAACTTTTTAAAAATATATTTCACATGTATGAGAAATTATTCAGTATTCTTTTATCTTTATCTGCCTAATTTTACTAAGTATATTGTCCTCCTTGTTCATCTGTTTTTTGTTTTGTTTTGTTTTGTTTTTGCAAATGTCAGGACCTCTTTATTTATTCAAGGCTGATATATATATATATATTCAGAATTCCTTTTTTAAGATGATACATAATATGCAAATGTTTATTAGGTAGATATACTATTTTGTAGTTGCAGGAAATGTGTAATGATCAAATCAGGTTATTTTAGGTATGCATCACCTTGAGTATTTTTTATTTCTGTGTATTGGAAACATTTCAGTTTCTTTCTTTTAGCTACTTTGAAATATACAATGCAGCTTTGTGGCTAACTATAGTAACCCTTCTCTACTATCAAACTTTAGAACTTCTTTTTTTCTACCTAACTGTATGTGGTACACATTAACTACCCTCTCTTCATCTCCCCCTTCCATCAGTAGGACCTTCCCAGTTTCTGGTTCATATCATTGCACACTCTACCTCTATTTGATCAACTATGTCAGCTCCCAGGTGTGAGTGAGAACATGAGATATTTGTCTTTCTTTGCCTACTTATTTCACTCAACATCAAGACCTCCAATTACATCCATGTTGCTGCAAATGACATGATATCATTTTTTGTTATGGTCAAATAATAGTCCACTATGTGTATATACCACATTCTTTTCATCCATTCATCCTTTGATAGATACTTTGATTGATTCCGTATTTTTGAATATCGTAAATAGTGCTGCAGTAAATATGGGGATGTAGGTTTCCCTTTGACATATTGATTTATTTTTCTTTGGATAAAAACAAAGTAGTGCAATTACTGGATAGATTGATTCAATTTTTAGTTGTTTTGAGAAATCCTCAGACTATTTTCTGTAGTATCTGTACTAATTTACGTTTCCACCAACAGTGTATAAGAGTTATTTTTTGTATTTTTAACAATAGCGATTATAATTATGATAAGAAAATATCATATTTTGGTTTGGATTTGTATTTCCCTGATGATTTTGAGCATTCTTTCATATACCTGTTGGTTATTTGTATGACTTCTTTTGAAAAACATTTATTCATATTATTTGTCCAATTTTACTTTTGGGATTTTAAAAATGATTTTATTTTTATCAATTTGAAAGCAGCCGAAAGCATGCAACTGGTCAAGAGACCATGGAAACACTTAATCTCTCTAATGTGATCAGAAAATGTCTTTTTAGAATAATTTTTTCAAACTCATTTATTTCTTCATTAGTACTTTTTTCCAATGTCATTGTTTGCAGGGAGAAATTAGGAAACCTTGTCTATTTGTTCAACCATATTCATCATCATCTCTATTATTTGTAGAGACTACTGAGTAAATTACTGATTCTGAATTAAGTAAGTCTACAATCCTCTGGTTGAATTGTAGCATGAATTATATTTATATAAGATTTATTGTGCAAACTGCATTTTATATTTTTATTAAAAACTCAGACGACAAAAAAGGTAAGTCTATGGGTGAAGCTTCTTTTAGGCAAATATAGGGTGGCCAAAAATGTAGGACTCAGTTATTTAAAAAAAAAAATACATACCCAAGTGACTAACAGGTTGCTTAGGAGACCAATTCCATAACCCGATACCGGTACAACAGTGTTGAAACTATTCAGAATTTAAGATGAAGGTTGGAGAGGATCCGTTAGATATATGAACATATATATTATTTGTTTTTGTTTTTCTTCTTATTGTATAATTTCAACTTTTATTTTAGATTTGCGGGATATATGTACAGGCTTATTACATTGGTATATTGTGTGATGCTGAGGTTTGAGGTTTGAATGATTCTATCACCCAAGTAGTGAGCATGATACCCAATAGGTATTTTTTCAGCTTATGCACCCTCCCTTTCACCTCCTTTCATAATACCTAGTGTCTGCTATTTCTATTTTTATGCTCATGTGTAACCAATGCTTAGCTTCCACTAATAAGTGAGAACAAGTGGTATTTGGTTTTCTGTTCCTGCATTAATTCACTTAGGATAATGGCCTCTAGCTGCATCCACATTGCTGCAAAAGACATGATTTTTTTTTGTTTTTTGGCTGCACAGCATTTCACAGTAGATATATGCCACATTTTCTTTATCCAATCCACTATTAATGAACACTTAGATTGATTCAATGCTTTTGCTATTGTGAATAATGCTGCAATGAACATATAAATGCATATGTCTTTTGGCAGAATTATTTATTTTCCTTTGAGTACATATCCAGTAATTGGATTGCTGGGTCAAATGTTAGTTCTGTTTTAAATTTTTTGAGAAATCTCCAAACTGTTTTCCACAGTGGCTAAACTAATTTACATTCCCACCAACAGTGTATAAGCATTCTATTTTCTCCACAGCCATGCCAGTATCTATGTTTTTCAGACTTTTTAGTAATAGCTATTCTGACTGGTGTGAGATATTATCTCACTGTGTTTTTGACTTTCATTTTTCTGATGATTAGTGATGCTGATCATTTTTTCATGTTCATTGGCGGATGGTATGTCTTCATTTGAGGAGTGTTTGCTAATGTCGTTTGCCCACTTTTTTGTGGGGTTGTTTGCTTGTTGAATTGTTGAAGTTTCTTATAGATTATGAATATTAGACATTTGTTGGGTGCATATTTTGCAAATATTTTCTCCCATTCTTTAGATTTTCTCTTTACACTGTTGATGTTTTTTGTGTTTGTTTTGATTCTTTTTGCTGTGTAGAAACTCTTTACATAGGTCTCATTTGTCAATTTTTGTTTTTGTTGCAATTGCTTCTGAGGACTGTCATAATTTTTTTTTCCCAAGTCTGATGTTCAGAATGGTGTTTCCTAGGTTTTCTTCTAGGATTCTTACAGTTTCAAGTCCTACATTTAAATTTTTAATATATCTGGAGTTAACTTTTGCATATTCTGAAAGGTAGCAGTCATGTTTCCTTCTCCTGCATATGGCTAACCAGCCATCCCAGGACCATTTGTTGAATATATGGAGTCTTTTCTTCACTGCTTATTTTTGCCAACTTTGTTGAAAATCAGATGGCTCTAGGTGGGTGTCTTTATTTCTGAGTTCTCTATTCTGTTCCATTGGCCTATGTGTCATGTCTGTTTTTGTACCAGTGCTGTACTGTTTTGGTTAATTCAACCTTAGAATATAGTTTGAAGTCAGGTAAGGTGATGTCTTTTGCTTTGTTCTTTTACTTAGGATTGCTTTGGCTATTCAGCTTTTCTTTGGTTCTATATTAAATTTAAAATAGTTTTATTTTTCCTATTACTGTGAAAAATGTCATTGCAGTCTGATAAGAATAGCATTGACTCTGAAAATAATCGCCTTGGGCAGTAGGCCGTTTCAACAATAATAATTATTACCATTCATTAGCATGGAATGTTTTTCCATTTGTTTGTGTCATTTATAATTTCTTTTAGCAGTTTTTGTAGTTCTTTTTGTAGAGATATTTCACCTACTTAGTTAGACACATTTCAAGGTACTGCTTTTGTGTGTGTATTTGCCCTCTTTTTAAAAGGATTTTTAAAAGAAATACTGTTGTTATTTGAGTTCCTTGTATATTCTGGATATTAGTCCCTCAGTCAGATGAATAAAAATATTTACTTTCATACAAATTGTTGTCTCTTTATTCTGGTGATTATTTCCTTTGGTATGCACAGGCTTTTTAATTGAATATAGCACCATTTGTCTGTTTTTGGTTTGTTGCCTGTGCTCTTTAGGTCTTAGTCATAAAATCTAAAATCTTTTTCTGTATGTCTTGAAGTGTTTTTCCTACATTTAATATTTTTATAGTTTTTGGCCTTACATTAAAATATTTAATCCACCTGGAGTTGATTTTTGTATATGGTAAAAGATAGAGAAATAGTTTTATTTTTCTACATATTGACATTCACTTTTCCCAGCACCATTTATTAAGGAGAGTGTCCTTTTTACCAATGTATATTCTTAGCACCTTTGTCAAAAATCAGTTGTCTGTAAATACGTGAATTTATATTTTGATTCCCTGTTCTGTTTCCTTGTTCTGGGTGTCTGTTGTTACACCAATACTATGCTATATTCTTGTATTATATTTTGAAGTAAGGTAGTTTCATGCCTCTGGCTTTGTTCTTTTTGCTCAGAATTGCTTTGGCTATTAGGAGTCTTTTCTGATCCCATATAAACTTTAGGATTATGGTTTTTATTGCTGTAAATAATGTTGGTATTTTGATAGGAGTTGAATCTGTAGATTTCTTTGGACAGTATGATCATTTTAAGGATATCAATTTTTCCAATCTATGAGATGGGAGGTCTTTTCATTTTTTTATGACTTCTTCAACTATTCATGAGTGTTTTTTAGTTTTCCTTCTAGAGATCTCCTACTTACCTGGTCAAATATATTCATAGGTAATATTTTTGTCGTTTTGGAAATGGGATTGCTTTCTTGATCTCTTTCTTAGCTAGTTAATTATTGGTGTATGGAAATCCTACTGATATTTGCATGTTGATTTGTATTCTACAAATTTACTGAATTCATTTATTAGATCTAAGTGTTTTAATGGAAATTTTCATAGATATAAATCATATCACCAACAAAGAGAAATGATTTGACTTTCTTTTTTCCCAAATTGGATGCCTTTTCTTTCTTTGTCTTTCCTTATTGTTCTGGCTAGGATTTCCAGTACTATGTGGAATAGGAGCGGTGGAAGTGGACATTCATGTTTTGTTCCAATTCTTAGAGGAAAAGCTTTCAGCATTTCTCCATTCAATATAATGTCAGCTGTGAGTTGATCATACATGGTTTCTGTTATGTTCAGGTATGTTCCTCCCATGCCTAGTTTGTGGAGAGCTTTTATAATAAAGAAATATTGAGTTTTATCAAATGCTTTTTCTGAGCTTGTTTAGATGATCCATATAAATTTTGTCCTTCATTTGGTTGATGTGATGTAACAGGTTTATTGATTTGTGCATGCTGAACCATCCTTGCGTCCTTAGGATAAATCCCACTTGATCATTTTGTATTATTTTTGATGTGCTGCTCATTTGGTTTGTTAGCATTTCATTGAGAAGTTCTGTATTAAATTTCATCAGGAAAATGATCTATAGTTTCCTCACTTGTTGCTTTTTTCACTAATTTTGGTGTCAAGATAATGCTGGGTTCATAGAATGAAATAAGGAGAAATCCCTCCTCTTCAATTTTTTGAAACTGTGTGAGGAGAATTGGGGTTCATTGTTCTCTGAATGTTTTATAGAATTTGGCAGTGAAGCCACCCAGTCCTTGACTTTCCTTTTTTTTTTAGAAAATTTACATCACTGATGTATTATTATTCCTTATTTGTATTTTTTTTTCAAGAGTTTCATTTCTTCCTGATTAAATCTTGGTATATTGTATATGCCCAGAAATGTATCGATTTTCTCTAGGATTTTTAGTTTTTTAGTGTATAGTTAGTCTTAATAGTCTCTCATGATCTTTTTTATTTTTGTGGTTATCGCTTGTAATGTCTCCATTTTCATTTCTAATTTTGTATATTTGAGTCTTCTCTTTACTTTTTTGGTTAGTCTAGCAAGTGTTTATTCATTTTGTTGATCTTTTTACAAACCACCTTTTTGTATTGTTAATCCTTTGTATTGTTATTTTTGTCTCTATTTTATTTAGTTCTGTTCTGATATTTATTATTTCTTTTACTAATTTTGGCATTGATTTGTTCTTACTTTTCTTGTTCCTTGAGTTGCATAATAAGATTGTTTACTTGAGGCCTGGCATAGTAGTTCATGCCTGTAATCCCAGCACTTTGGGAGGCCGAGGCAGGTGGATCACGAGGTCAGGAGATCGAGACCATCCTGGCTAACACGGTGAAACCCCATCTTTACTAAAAATACAAAAAATTAGCCAGGCATGGTGGCGGGCGCCTGTAGTCCCAGCTACTTGGGAGGCTGAGGCAGGAGAATGGCGGGAACCTGGGAGGCAGAGCTTGCAGTGAGCGGAGATCATGCCATTGCACTCCAGCCTGGGCGACAGAGCGAGACTCTGTCTCAAAAAAAAAAAAAAAAGATTGTTTACTTGAAATATTTCTACTTTTTGATGGACACGATTATTGCGATAAACTTTCCTATTAGCACAGCTTTTGAAATATCCTATAGGTTTAGCTATTTTTTTTCAATTGTCATTTGTTTCAATAATTTTTAAAATTTCCTCTGTATTCTCTTTCGCAACCAAGTGGTCATTCAGAATCATGTTTAAATGTTATGTATGTGTAAGTTTTCCAAAGCGTCTCTCTTATAAATTTGCAATTTTATTTCTTTATGATCCAAGAATGTATTTGATATGATTTGAATTAAAAAATGTTAAGTCATGTTTTCTGTTCTAACATATATTCTGTCCTGCAGAAATATTTTATGTGCTGTTGAGAAGAATGCGTGTTCTGTTGTTGTTGAATGAAATGATTTATAAGTATTTGTTTGGTCCATTTCGTCTGAAGTGCAGTTTAAATCCAATGTTGCTTTTTTAATTTGTTGTCTACATGATCTCTCTAATGCTGAGTGGGGTTTTGAAGTCCTCAACTGATATTGTATTGGATTCTATCTCTATTTTTAGATCTAATATATTTAGTTTATTTAATTGGGTCATCCTGAGTCTGTTGCATGTATGTTTAGGATTGGTGTATCCTCTTGCTAACTTGATCCCTTTGCCATTATATAATGACCTTTGTCTCTTTTTACTGTTTTTGACTTGAAGTTTGTTTTATTTGATATAAGTGTAGCTACTCCTGCTTATATTTTTGTTTTCTGTTTGCATAGAATAACTTTTTTATCTTTTTACATTCAGTCTATATGTGTTTTACAGGTAAGATTAATCATCTGCATGCAGTATATAATTGGATAATGTTTAGTGTTATAAGAAGAAATTATAATCTGCTTACATTTAAGGTTACTATTGAGAGAAGAGAGCTGGTGTTTGACATTTTATTAGTTGATTTCTGATTGTTTTGTGTATTCTCTGTTCCATTATTTCTCAGTGCTTACCATTGTGGTTTGATGGTGTCTGTAGTGGGAACATTTGAGTTTTTTCTCCTCTTTGTTTGTTTGTGTGTTCTACCAGTGAGTCTTGTACATTTGCACATTTCCATGATTGCAGATATTATCTTTTCACTTATGGGTACAGGACTCCCTTTTGATCTAGTGGTGGTAAATTTCCTCAGTCTTTGCTTGTCTTTGAGAGACCTTTTCTTGCTTTCTTATGCAAGATAGCTTTTTATAGTTTTCTTTGCTAGGTATAGTATCCTTGTCAGGCTCATTTTTTCTCTTTTACCACTTTGAATATATCATCTCATTTTCTCCTGGGCTTTAAAATTTCTGTCAAAAATTTTACTGTTATTTTGATAGGGGTTATTTTATAAGTGACTAGATACTTTTCTCTTGCTTATTCTATAATTCTCTCTTTTTCTTCACCTTTTGACAATTTCACTTAGTGTGTCTTATAGAAGACATTTTTGGATTGTATCTATTTGGGGATATCTGAGACTCCTGTAATGGATGTCTAAATTTCTTGCTAGACTTGAGAATATTTTATCTATTATTTTGTTAAATACATTTTCAAAAACTTTAATTTTCTCTTAACCTTCTGGGATATTGAAAATTTGAATATTTTGTCACATTATAGAGTCCCATATGTCATGTAGGCTTTTCTGATTTCTTTTAATTCTTTTTTAAAAAAATTCCATATGCCTATAATATTTCAAAGGATCTGTCTTCATGTTCTGTAATTCTTTCTACTCCAGGATCTAGTCAATTATTGAAGTTTTTGAAGGTATTTTGTGTTTAATTCAATAAAGTTTTCAGTACTAATATATCTGTTTCATGTTTATTTTATATATCTCATTGGGAATTTTCTCATTCATATCCTCAAATGTTTTACTGATTTCTTTGTATTATTTTTCAATAGGCTCATATATCTTACTGAGCTTTTGACATTTTTATTTATATATGCATATACATATTATTTTATAAACTTGGGGGGTACAAGTGCAGAATTTTGCATGCGTATATTGTGTAGTGGTGATGTTTGTGTTTTTAGTGTACCCATCACCTCAATAGTGAATATTATACCCAATGTAGGTAATTTTTTACCTCTTACTATCCTCCCACCTTGCCACCTTTTGTAATTTTGAATGTCTGTTATTCCACTACGTATGTCCATGTGCATCCGTTTAGCCCCCGTTTATAAGTAAGAGCATGCAACATTTAGCTTTCTGTGTTTATTTCACTTAAATTAATGGCCTCATTTCATCTATGTTGCTACAAAACACATTTTTGGTTTTTTTAATTGTTTATAGCTGCATAATATTCCATGGTGGTGGTGGTGGTAGTGGTGTGTGTTTATGTGTGTATAGCAGGAAAAGGGTAAGTGAAAGATCCCCAGAAGCCCACATTTTCACCACGGACTCATGCAATCTGAGCCACAGGAAAGCCTCTCAACCCTTGTGGCCACTGAGAGTGCTTGAAGCTGATCTCATATCTCTCACCATATACAATAGTTAACTCCACATTTGTTAAAGACTTAAATGTAAGGCTTGAAACTATAAATTCCTAGAAGAAAACCTAGGAAAAGCTCTTCTCAAAATTGGCCTAGGCAAAGAACTTATGACCAAGTCTTCAGAAGCAAACTCAATGAAACAAAAATAGACAAATGGGACTTAATTGGATATATCCCATTGTGTGTAGGCTTTTGGGTTTTATATACCCAATTATATGTGGGCTTCTAGTGATCTTTCACTTACCCTTTTTCTGATATATATATATTAACATATATATGTGTGTGTGTTTGTGTGTGTATTTATCACATATTATTTATCCAATCATCTGTTAATGAACACTAGGTTGATTTTATTTATTTGTTACTGTGAATATTGCTATGATAAATACATGAGTCCAGGTATCTTTTTGATGTGGCGATTTCTTTTCCTTCAGATATATACTCTGTAGTGGGATATCAAAATCGAATGGTAGTTCTATTTTTAGGTTTTGAGTATTCTCCATACTGTTTTCCAGATAAGTTTTACTAATTTTCATTTCTACCAGCAGTATACAAGCACTCTATTTTCTCTATATTCTCACTGATATCAGTTGTTTTTTGACTTTTAAATCATAACCATTCTAACTTTTGTAAGACAGTATCTCATTGTGGTTTTAATTAGAATTTCTCTGATAATGAGTAATGTTGAGTATTTTGCATGTGTTTAGTGGCCAGTTGTATGCTTTCTTTTGAAAAGTGTCTGTTTATATTCTTTACTCTCTTTTTAAATATGGTTATTTGATTTTATCTCTTGTTGACTTGTTTGATTTTCTTATAGAGTCCAGATAATACCCCTTTGTCAGCTGCATGATTTGCAAATATTTTTTCCCATTCTGCAGTTTGTCCGCTTCCTCCATTGATTATTTCTTTTGCTGCACAGAAGCCATTTACATTAATTAAGTCTCACTTGTCTGTTTTGTTTTATTGAATTTGCTTGTGAAGACTCAGTCATAAATTCTTTGCTTAGGTCAATTTCAAGAAGCACTTTTTTTTTCTTTTCTTCTAGGAATTTTACAGTTTCAAGCCTTATATTTAAGTCTTAGTACATCTTGAGTAAATTTTTGTATATGGGAATAGATGTGAGTCCAGATTTATTCTTTTTCATATGGCTATCCAATTTTCCCAGTACCACTTATTGAATAGTGTCCTTTCTCTGGTGTATATTTTCGCTGACTTTGTCAAACATTAGTTGGTCATAGATATGTGGTATATTTCTGTGTTCTGTATACTATTCCATTCATCAACACTCTATTTTCTTACTAGTACCATGCTGTTTTTGTTATTACATCCTTGAAGTATAATTTAAAATCAGATAATGTGCTTTCTTCAGATTTGTTTATTTTGCTTAGAATTGCTTTGGCTATTTGGGCTTTCTGGGAGGCCATATAAACTTTAGGATTTTTTTTTCTAATTCTGTGAGAAACGATGTTGGTAATTTGATAAGGAATGTGTTTTAGGTAGATAGATTGCTTTAGTTAATATGGTCATGTTAACAACATTGATTCTTCATGTCACTGAGCTTCTGTAATACCAACATTTTAAATTCTTTTTTCTCAGATTTTGTAAATGTAAATGTATTTGTGTTTAGAATCTTTTTTTATTTTTTTGAGAAGGAATCTCTCATGTTGCCCAGGCTGAAGTGCAATGACGAGATCTCGGCTTACTGCAACCTGCGCTTCCTGGGTTCAAGTGATTTTCCTGCCTTAGCTTACTGAGTAGCTGGGAATTACAGGTGCCCACCACCACATACGGCTATACACACACAGTTGTGTGCACATGTGTGCACATACACCCACACACACCACCACCACCACCACCATGGAATATTATGCAGCTATAAAAAATTAAAAAAACAAAAATGTGTTTTGTAGCACCATGGATGAAATGAGGCCATTAACTTAAGTGTGTGTGATGTTTCCCTCCCTGTGTCCATGTGTTCTCATTGTTCAACTCCCACTTATGAGTGAGAACATGCAGTGTTTGGTTTTCTATTCCTGTGTTAGTTTGCTGAGAATGATGGTTTCCAGTTTCATCCATGTCCCTGCAAAGGACATGAACTCATTATTTGGTATGGCTGCATAGTATTCTGTGGTGTATATGTGCCACATTTTCTTTATCCAGTCTATCATTGATGGGCATTTGGGTTGCTTCCAAGTCTTTGCTATTGCAAATAGTGCTTCAATAAACATACATGTGCATGTGTCTTTATAGTAGAATAATTTCTAATTCTTTGATTTTATACTCAGTAATGAGATTGTTGGGTCAAATGGTATTTCTGGTTCTAGATCCTTGAGGAATCATAACACTGTCTTCCACAATGGGTGAACTAGTTTACACTCCCACCAACAGTGTGAAAGCATTCCTATTTCTCCACATCCTCTCCAGCACCCGTTGTTTTCTAACTTTTTAATTATCACCATTCTAACTGGCATGAGATGGTATCTCATTGTGGTTTTGATTTGCATTTCTCTAATGACCAATGATGATGAGTTTTTTTTTCATATGTTTGTTGGCCACATAAATGTCCTCTTTTGAGAATTGCCTGTTCATATCCTTTGCCCACTTTTTGATGAAGTTGTTTGTTTTTTTTCTTGTAAATTTGTTTAAAATCCTTGTAGATTCTGGATATTAGACCTTTGTCAGATGGATAGATTGCAAAACTTTCTCTCTTTCTGTAGTTTGCCTGTTCACTCTGATGATAGTTTCTTTTGCTGTACAGAAGCTCTTTAGCTTAATTAGATCCCATTTATCAATTTTGGCTTTTGTTGCAATTGCCTTTGGTGTTTTAGTCATGAAGTCTTTGCCCATGACTATGTTCTGAATGGTATTTCCTAGGTTTTCTTCTAAGGTATTTATGGTTTTAGGTTTTATTTTTAAGTCTTTAATCCATCTTGAGTTAATTTCTGCATAAGGTGTAAGGAAGGGGTCCAGTTTCAGTTTTCTGTATATGGCTTGCCAGTATACAGTATATTTAATTCCCATTTATTAAATAGGGAATCCTTTCCCCATCGCTTGTGTGTGTCAGGTTTGTCAAAGATCAGATTGTTGTAGATGTGTGTTGTTTTTTTCTGAGGCCTCTATTGTTTTCCATTGGTCTATATATCTGTTTTGGTAGCAGTATCATGCTGTTTTGCTTACTTTAGCCTTGTAGTATAGTTTGAAGTCAGGTAGCGTGATGCCTCCAGCTTTGTTCTTTTTGCTTGGGATTGTCTTGGCTCTATGGGCCCTTTTTTGGTTCCGTATGAAATTTAAAGTATTTTTTCTTGTTCTGTGAAGAAAGTCCGTGGTAGCTTGATGAGAACCGGATTCAATCTATAAATTCTTCATATCCATGAGCATGGAATTTTTTTCCGTTTGTTTGTGTCCTCTCTTATTTTTTTGAGCAGTGGTTTGTAGTTCTCCTTGAAGAGGTCCTTCATGTCCCTTGTAAGTTGTATTCTTAGGTATTTTATTTTCTTTGTAGCAATTGAAACACTCCTAATTTTTAAAGAAAGTTTCCAAATTTGTGTTGGGTCACATTCAAATCCATCCTTGATTGCATGCAGCCCATAAGCCATGGTTTGGACAAGGTTGGGTTTAGGGTAAAGTTGTTAGTGGAGGCTGTGATAAAATATTCCTAGGGACTCGGCTGCTAGGTGGGCCAGTCTTTGGGCCCTCTTAGTGGCAGTGATTGGTCAACTGTGCCTGTCTTCCAGTCCCAGGGTGGCACACACTAGCCACATGTTAATGGGTCCAAGCTAACAAGGCTGATTCTTGGGCCTCTAGGTAGGTTGCTCTGGCACTGGAAGCTACAATAGTTGTCTGTGTAGGCAAACAAGTTCTTGGTCCCTTCGTGAGTGGACATGGCATGGACAATAGGTGTAGCGGTGGTGGGACAACCCTCTGAGATCCCATGTGTCCACGCTGATGTTAACAGTGGCTGTGACATACTGTGTGAGCCATTTCACAGGCTCACAGGGAGTGTCTTTTGGTATATACTCCCCGTGGTGGCAGCAGCAGGTTGTGTGGTCCTGACCTCAGACCCTGAGAGGATTGCTTAGGTGTGAATGATGGTCAACAGGGCTGGAGGAAACCCAGGCCCTTGGATGTCATGCTCAGGTACTTGGGAGGATAGAGCCAGACATGGCATATCTGTCCCCAGACCCTTCCCTTATATGTTACATGCAGACACTGGCTGTGGTAGGCAGGGGTGTGGTGATTCCCAGGATGCCAATGAAATGCTCAGGTTGAGGTGGCAGCAGCTTTGCTGTAGCCCTGCTACTGAGAAAAGTTGGGTTGTTTTCAGTGGGGATGCCATTTTCAGGCAGCTAAGGCCATGTGCTTTTACATGTTTTGGCCCTACAGCCACCAATGGTAGTGGCTGTGAGCAGTGTAATTTGTCCTCCAGGTTTGTGAAAATCTGTGGCCGCTTCTTTAGGGGCGATGGAGTTGCTGCCAGTGGCTCCTGCCTCAGTCTGGTAGTTGTGGCTACAAGTGGGGAATGTTATCAGGGCTCCAGTGATGTGGCAATGCAGATTCTCTTGTGCCCAAAGACAGAGTGCAGTGTGGTAGGAGCTCTCAAAATAGTGTTGTGCTGTAGCTGCTTAAGGCTTGTGGGTTTGTATATATTAGTGTGAACTTCCATTCTGAAGCAATGCCTATGCTGGTCTCAGTGGCCACAAGGGTTGA
Organism: Homo sapiens; assembly: GCF_000001405.40. Classification (NCBI taxonomy): domain Eukaryota; kingdom Metazoa; phylum Chordata; class Mammalia; order Primates; family Hominidae; genus Homo; species Homo sapiens. The sequence continues at coordinate 82,188,705 of NC_000023.11, forward strand.
GAGACTCTCCTGTGTCTCAGATAGCAAGAGTCCATGGTAAAAATATGGGCTCTTGGAAATCTTTCACTTACACCTTTCTTGCTATATGGAGCCTATCTAGGCTCCCAGAAGGTCCCAGTCAAGCAAATTGAGAGCCTCACTTTGCTCTTTCCTTGCTTTTAGCATTTTCTGTCACTTTTCTGCTAAATTTCAGGATTATCTTTTAGATAATTTATTGAAGTGTGATTACTCACTATTTTGGTTCTTGGTGAAAAAGGTGAATATCAAATGCATCTAGTCAGCAATCTTGAAGTCAACCCTCTCTATACCACATTTTTTATAGGGTAACCTGTTAATAAACACTTAGATTGCTTTCATATCTTAGCTATTGAGAATAATGCTGCAATGAGCATAGGAGTGCAGATATCTCTGTGAGGTTCTGACTTCTTTTCCCTTGGTTATATGCTCAGAAGAAGGGTTGTTATATTATATATATTTCTATTTAAATTTTTTGAAGAAATTCCATACTGCTTTCCCTAATAGCTATACTAATCTATTTTCCCACTGACAATGTACAAGGGGTCCTCTTTTCTCAATACCCTCAACAACACTTGCTATCTCTTCTCATTTTGATAATAGCCATTGTAACAGGTGTGAGGTGATAACTCATTGTGCTTTTGATTTTTTGTTTCCCTGATGATTAGTGATGTTGGTCACCTTTTCATATATCTGTTGGCCATCTTTATATCTTTTTTGAAAGATGATTCATGAAGTCTTTTGCTCATTTTTTAATTGGGTTATTCTTTGTTGGCTATTAGGCTGTGAGTTCTTTATATATTTTAGATATTAATTCCTTAATAGATACGTCGTTAACAAATATTTTCTTCTTATCTGTAGGCTGCTTTTTTCTGATTTCATTGCTGTGCAGAAGCTTTTTAGTTTAATATAGTCCAACTTTATTTTTGCTTTTGCTGCCTGTGCTTTTCTTTCACGTGTGTCTTATCAAAATGTCAGTGCCAAGACTAATGTCAAGGAGCTTTTCCTCTTTGTTTTCTTTTAGGAGTTTTATGTTTTCTGGTGCTATGCTTTGGTATTTAATTCATTTTGAGTTAATTTTTCTGTGTGGTATAAGATAATGTTTCAGTTTCTTTCTTTTCCATGTGGATATTTAGTCTACCCCATACTATGTATCAAATAATGTATCCTATCTCCCTTGGTCAACACATTGAAAATTATTGTGATAGATGTCTAGTGATATTTACTTACAATTTAAATTTGATTTCTCTAAAGTCTAATGATGTTAAGCTTCTTGTCTTATGCTTATTTATCATTCATATATCCTCTTTTGTAAAATTTCTGTTTATGTCTTTTGCACAATTTCCAATTAGATTGTTTAAATTGTTGACTATGTTTAGCTTCTCCATGGGGCCTGATGACACAAGGTGTGGAGGGAAAGTGGAGTACTGACTAGTGCCAAATTGAATCATTTTAGTCAGTCTCATATAGATGCTCAGTGTAGATGGAGGTTCAGATCCTTAGAGTGACACTAAGGTTTTTATTTATCTATCTCCATAAAGGAGATTTGAACATATGTAAATGTTTATGGGAAAGAGACACTAGAAGCTAAATAATCAAGAGCAAACAGGGAATTTTTTTAGTGTAAGATTACTGAGAAGTTAGAATAAATGTACTTCAAAAAATAGAAAAGTTGACCTTAAAAAAGAGCTGATACAAGTTCTATAATGTAACAGATGGAAATAAAAGAGTGGATGCAGATGCAAGAACATTAGAACTTTTAATAGCGCAACTTTAAAAAAAAAGGTTTCTGTCTGATTATTTGAACTTACCTCTTTGATTAAAATGAAGACCCTCTGCCCAGTTTCCACATCGAAGAGGTGATAATGAGGAGCCAGTAATAGAGACCAAGAGGCAGAACCAGAAAATGAAGGAGGTTTTCTTGAAGAGTGGAAATCCAAGAGAAAAAGAAATATTTCCAAGAAGATGTGAGCAACAGTGTCAGGTGTAATAATAACAAGGGGGGCGGGGGCGGAATAAGAACAATGGGGATTAGATTTGGCAAATAGTAAAATGTCATTAAAGAAAAATTTTAATAGAATTGTATTTTTATGAAAATTATGTGAGAAAATACTAAAAAGTAACACTAAAACGTTTTTTCAGGTTTTTAATGAAGTTTAAGATATTCATTTTAACTTAACCTTCTAAATAGTGGGGGACAATTATAAGTGACCCAGCTGGAAGTGTGCAAAATGGATTGGAGCAAGAGAAGATAGAAAGGAGAAAGGTTAATTTACAGTTTGTTGTAATAACACCAGTCAAATTTGAAGAGGGCCGGAATTAGAGCAAGAGCAGTAAAAATGGAGAACAATGGATAGCTATGGCAGATGCTATCAAAGGCACATTTTCAGGACATGGTGACTGACTGGATATTTTCCAGTTACACATCTTTCTTCAGATCATAAACATTGAGGTGAAGGAAAAAACATATTATATAAATAATAATAACAATAAATTGTCCGGGTGTGGTGTCTCATGCCTGTAATCCCAGCACTTTGGGAGGCCGAGGTGGGTGGAGCACTTGAGGCCAGGAGTTCAAGACCAGCCTGGCCAACATGGTGAAATCTTATCTCTACTAAAAATAGAAAAATTAATAAGGCATGATGGTACATATTTGTGATCCCAGCTACACGGGAGACTGAGACAGTAGTGTCGCTTGAACCCAGGAGGTGGAGGTTGCAGTGAGCCGAGATTGTGCCACTGCACTCCAGCCTCGGTGACAGAATGAGACTCTCTCAAAACAAACAAATGAAAAACTGCAAAAACAATAAATTATAATTCTCTGGTTTTTTTAATGGTATCTATTTACTATTGTTGAAAAAACTTTCTCAACAGGAAATAATTAAGGGTAAAACTTATAATAACAAAATATTCAAAGATATCTTTCCTTTATATTTGGTAATTTTTGACACAAAAACTCATTTCACATAAATAAAACAAAAAGAATGAAACATACATAATGCCTTTCATAAATTTATTCATAAAAATAAATACTTATTTTTGAAAAATTATAAATATTATAAAAGTTAACATGTGAAGACACTGGCTCAATATATAGTTAGTAATAAGTATTGCTATTATGTTGTTTATTAAATATATTTTCCCAAAGACTTCTTTTCTTTTTAAAATTATTTTTTTAAAATATAAATTTTAGGTTCAGGTGTGCATGTGCAGGTTTAATAGGTAAAGACGTGTCACAGGGCTTTGTTGTACAGATTATTTTTTTCACCCAGACCCTAGTCCTAGTTCTCAGTAGTTATCTTTTTTCTCTTTTCCCTCTTCCCACTATCTACCCCTCAGCAGGTTTTGTTCTCCACCATGTATCCATGTATTCTCCTCATTTAACTCCCACTTATAAGTGAGAGCATATAGTATATGGTTTTCTGTTCCTGTGTTAGTTTTCTAAGAATAATGGCCTCTGGCTCCATTGATATTCCTGCAAAGGAAATTATATCATTATTTTTTCTGGCCGCATAGTATTTCATGGTGTATATGTACTGCATTTTCTTTATTCAGTCTTCAACTGAAGAAGACTGAATAAAGGTTTGTTTCCATGCCTGCTATTGTGAAAGCGCTGCAATAAACACACATGTGCATGTGTCTTTATGATACAAAACTTCATATTCCTTTGGAAATATATCCAGTAGTGGGATTGTTGGATTAAATAGTAGTTTTGTTTTTAGCTTTTTGAGGAACCACCACACTTCTTTCCACAATAGTTGAACAAATTTACACTCCTCCCAACAGTGTATAAGTGCTCCCTTTTCTCCACAACCTCACCAGCATCTGCTAGTTTTTGACTTTTTAATAATAGCCATTCTGACCCGTGTGACATGGCAGCTCACTGTGGTTTTGATATATATTTATCTAATGATCAGTGATACTGAGCTTTCTTCATATGTTCTATGGCCACATGTATGTCTGCTTTTGAAAAGTGTCTGCTCATGTCTTTGGTCTATTTTTAAATGAGTTGTCAATGTTGGTTTTTGTTGCAATTGCTTTTGATATCTTCATTATAAAATCTTTGCCAGTTCCTATGTCCAAAATGGTATTGCCTAGATTGTCTTGCAGGGTGTTTATAGTTTTGCAATTTACATTTAAGTCTTTAATTCATTTTGAGTTGACTTTTGTATATGGTGTAAAGAAGGGATACAATTTAAATCTTCTGCATGTGGTTAGCCAGTCATCCCAGCACGACTTATTGAACAGGGAGTCCTTACCTCATTGCTTATTTTTGTTAGCTGTGTCTAAGATCAGATTGTTGTAGGTATGCAGCCTTATTACTGGGTTTTCTATTCTGTTCCATTGCTCTATGTGTCTGTTTTGATACCAGTATCATTCTGTTTTGGTTCCCGTAGCTCTGTAGTATAGTTTGAAGGTGGGTAGCCTGATTTCTTCAGCTTTGTTCCTTTTGCTTAAGATTGCCTTGGCTGTTTTGGGATCCTTTTTGGTTCTATATAAATTTTAAAATAGTTTTTTTCTAGTTCTGTGAGGAATGTATTTGTTATTTTGATAGGAATAGCATTGAAACTATAAATTGCTTTGCAAAGCATGGCCATTTTAATGATATTGTTTCTTCCTATCCATGAGCATAGAATGTTTTTCCATTTGTTTGTGTCATCTCTAATTTCTTTGAGCAGTGCTTTGTAATTCTCATTGTAGAGATCACTCACCTTTCTAGTTAACTGTATTCCCAGGTATTTTATTCTTTCCATGGTAATTATTAATGGAATTACATTTCTGATTTGATTCTCAGTTTGGCTGTTGTTGGTGTATAGGTATGTTAGTGACTTATGTACATTGATGTTTTATCTTGACACTTTGCTGAAGTTGTCTGTAAGCTAAAGGAGCTTTTGGGCCAAGACTATGAGTTTTTCTAGCTATAAAAGCATGTTGTTTGCACACAGGGATAGTTTTACTTTCTATTTTTATATTTGGATGTGTTTTATTTATTTCTTTTGCCTATTGCTCTGTCCAGGACTTCCAATATTATGTTCAATATGAGTGATAAGAGAGGGCATCCTTGTTTTTTCAGTTTTCAGAGTGAATGCTTCCAACTTTTTCCCATTCAGTATAATGTTGGCTATGGATGTGTCATAGCTGTCTCTGATTATTTAAGGTATGTTCTTTCAATACCTAGTTTATTGAGAGGTATTTACCATGAAGGGATGTTGAATTTTATCAAAAGCTTTTTCTGCATCTGTTGAGATAATCATATAATTGTTGTCTTTAGTTCTGTTTATGTGATGGATCAAATTTGTTGATTTGCATATGTGGCAAAATCCTTGCATCCCTGAGTAAAAGCCTACTCGATTGTGGTGGATTAGCTTTTGGATGGGCTGCTGGATTTGGTTTGCCAGTTTGTTGTTGTGGTTGTTTTATTTATTTATTTATTTTTTGGATTTTTGCATCAGTGTCCATCAAGGATATTGGCCTGAAGTTTTCATTTGTTGTGCCTCTGCCAAGTTTTGGTATCAGAATGATGTTATTTATTACTGATACAATTTTGGAGTTAATCATTGTTATGTTCAGAGATGCAAATTCTTCCTTGTTTAGTTTTTGCAAAGTAAATGTTTCCAGGAATTTATCCATTTCTTCCATATTTTATAGTTTGTGTGGAAAGAGAGGTTCACAATAATCTCAGATAGTTATTTGTATTTCTGTGGAATCAGTGGTAACATCCTCCTTGTCATTTTTTAATTGAGTTCATTTGGATTTTCTCTTTTCTTCTTTGTTACTCTAACTAGTGGCCTATCTTATTAATTTTTTAAAAATGCCAACTGCTGAATTCATTGATTTTTAGAATGTTTTTTCATGTCTCAATTTTTCTTTAGTTCAGCTCTAATTTTGGTTATTTCTTGTCTCCTGCTAGCTTTGGGGTTGGTTTGCTCTTGCTTCTCTAGTTTTTTTTTGTGTGTGTGTGAAGTTAGGCAGTTAATTTGAGATCTTTCTAACCTTTTAATGTGGGCATTTAATGCTATAAAATCTTCTCTCAACACTGCCTTAGCTGTGTCCCAGATATTCTGGTTTGTTGTATTTTTGTGCTAGTTAGTTTCAAAGAACTTCTTGATTTCTGCCTAAATTTTATTATTTACCTCAAAGTCATTCAAGGGGAGGTTAATTTCCATGTAACTGTATGGCTTTGAGCAATTTTCCTAGGGTTGATTTCAAATTGTATTGCTCTGTTGCCGAAAGAGTGGTTGGTAGAATTTTGATTCTTTTTTCATTTGTTAAGGATTGTTTTATGTCTGATCGTGTGGTCAATTTTAGAGTATATGCAATGTGTCAATGAAAATAATGTATATTCTTTTTTTTTGAGGGGCGGTGGGGAGAGTTTTGTAGATATATATCAAGTCCATTTCGTTCAGTACTGAGTTCAGGTCCTGAATATCTTTGTTAATTTTCTACCTCGATGATCTAATACTATCAGTGGATTGTGGAAGTCTCCCACTATTATTGTGTAGTAATCTAAGTCTCTTTGTAGGTCTCTAAGAACTCGCTCTATGAACCTAGGTTCTCCTATTTTGGTTGCATGTATATTTAGGAAAGTTGGGTCTTCTTGTGGAATTGAATCCTTTACCAATATGTTATGCTATTTCTTGTCTTTTTTGAACTTTGTTGGTTTAAAATCTGTTTTGCCTGAAATTAGGAATGCAAGCCCTGATTTTTCTCTTTTTCATTTGCTTGGTAGATTTTTTCAGTCTCCTTATATTTAGCCCATGGCTGTCATTGAATGTGAGGTTGGTCTCTTAAACACAGCATACCATTGGGTCTTGTTTGCTTATCCAGCTGACCACTCTGTGCCTTTTAATTAGGCCATTTGGCCTGTTGATATTTAAGGTTAGTATTGATATATATGAATTTGATCTGGTCATTGTGTTGTTAGCTGGTTATTATGCAGACTAGTTTGTGTGGTTGCTTTATAGTGTCACTGGTCTGTGTACTTAACTGTGTTATTATAGTGGCTGGAAATAGTAGTTCTTTTCCATGTTTAGTGCCTTTTTTCAGGAGATCCTGAAAGACAGGTCTGATGGTAACGAATTCCCTCAGCACCTGCCTGTCTGAAAAGGATCTTATTTCTTCTTTGCTATGGAGCTTGGTTTAGCCAGATATGAAATTCTTGGTTGAAATTTCTTTTCTTTAACGGTGTTGAACATAGGCCCAAAATCTTTTCTGGCTTGTACAGTTTCTGCTGAGAAATCTACTATTGGACTGATGGACTTCCCTTGTAGGTGACCTGTCCTTTCTCTCTAGCTGCATTTAACATTTTTTTTTTCATTTTGACCTTAGAGAATCTGATGATTATTTGTCTTGAGGATGATATTGTTGTAAAGTAGTTTGCAGGGGTTCTCTGAATTTCCTGAATTTGAGTGTTATCTTCTATAGGTAGGGTAGGCAAATTTCCATAGATGATATCTTAAAATATTTTTTCCAAGCTGCTTTCATTCTCCCCATGCCTTTCAGAGATACCAATGAGTCATAGATTTGGTCTCCTTCCATAATCTCATATTTTTGAGGCTTTGTTTATTCCTTTTTATTCTTCTTTTTATTTTTGTCTGATCATCTTATTTCAGAAGGCTAATCTTTAGCATCTGAGATTTTTCCCTCTCCTTGATCTATTTCTGCTTTTAATGCCTGTGATTGTGTTATGAAATCCTTGTAGCATGTGTTTTAGCTCTATCAGTTTGGTTACATTATTTTCTATACTGGCTATTTTATCTGTCTCCTCTTGTATTGTTTTACTCTGATTCTTAGCTTCCTTAAATTGGGTTTCAACATCTCCTGAATCTTGATGATATTTATTTCTATCCATGTTTGGAATTCTATCATTTCAGCCATATCAGCCTGGTAAAGAACCCTTGCTGGTGAACTAGTGTGGTTGTTTAGAGAAAAGAAGGCACTCTGCCCTTCTGAGTTGTCAGAGATTTTGCACTGATTCTTTCTCATGTTTGCTGGATGATATTATTATAGTATTTGAAGTTGCTGTCCTTTGGATCATTTTTTATTTACTAAATTTTCTTTTACCTTACTTGATGACCTTGAAGATTTAATTGTGGTATAAGGTGTGTACAGTCAACTGGATTCATTGCTCTTCTCAGGAGTTTTGGACTACATGCCCTAACTCTCAGGGACAAGTATTGTGGCCCAGATTATTTCTCCTGGCTGGGGAGCAGGGGGTAATGTGCTCCCAGACTGCTGTTCACAATACTGCAATTGGTGGTACCAGCCAAGTGTTTTTGTAGGGCAGTGGCAGTGGGACCCATCCTTGTTTGCTCATAGCAGAAGTAGTGTCAACAGTGGTATAGTTGAGTGCACACTCATAGCATTGGCATGCTAACAGGTACTGTGGTGCTGGCCTTTGTGCAGGCATTTGCTGCAGTGGCAATGGCAGCACAGTGCTGAGGGTAGGAGGTGCCTGACAGTCTCTGTGCATGCATTTGTGCTGGTAGTGGTGTTAGCACAGGGTTGGGTTGCTGGTGGACACAGGACTATGTGCACCCTCTGCGTGTATTTATGAAGGTGACAATAAACACTCAGGGTGAGGGTGGGTTCACTGTTCTACATGCCTAGTTTTGTGCCAGTGGCCACTTCTCTGTGTCTTACTATTTCTACTGGTTCAGGACTCTAAACCTTCTCAAAGAAACACTGCTCAATACAAACATATATATTTTGAAGGTACTTAGTGGGCTTCCTTTTTAAAAAATTGTATTCATTTTTAGATGGAGTCTTACTCTGTTGCCCAGGCTGGAGTGCAGTGGCATGATTTCAGCTCACTGCAACTTCCTCCTCCTGAGTTCAAGCAATTCTCAGGCCTCAACCTCCTGTGTAGCTAGGATTACAGGCATGGAGAGAGAGAGAGTTTTGTCATGTTGGCCAGGCTGGTCTCAAACTCCTGACCTTAGGTGTTTCACCTGCTTCAGCCTCCCAAAGTGCTGTGATTACAGACATGAGTCACTGCGCCCAGCCCTTAGTGGGTTTTTCTAATGTGTTTTTAGGGTTTCTCTGTAATTATAATAAACAGATTTTCTCTGGAGGCCTCTGCTAATTACCGAAGTTTGCACAGCTCTTGAAATTTTGTTCATGTGCTTCTCCCTTGCACTTAGTGTTTATGACCATGATGAGTTCTACTAGGCATTATGTTTTAAGTTACCTTTTCCTTTAAAGTTAAAGGTTTTGCTGATACAGTCACACTTTCTATGTCTCTTCTATGTGAAGGGACAATAAAAGAAATGAGACTTGTAAATTTCCAGAAGACAAGTGCTCCTGTCTCAACAGGGAGCTATTTAAATTGACAACTAATACCACTAAACTAAATTCTATGGAAGTGGCCCGGGCAATATTAACCTCAGAGTTGCCCACATACTGAGGGATTTTACATTCTAAAAACTCCCATACATGGAGGAAGCAACATCTAAAGTTTCAAATTTTGTTGTGAATGTGTTCTGAATGTGGCAAAATTGGAATGTAAAGAAAGGAGATAAAGTGTACCTTTACAGAGTTTGTAAACTAATTCTCCAAGGAATCAAGGAGAGACTTTAGATGACTTCTCAATCCAGTATTTTCCCATATTATACTATTTCAGAAACTATTTAAACTATACTATCCCTGACTCTAAAGGTGGTGGGGGTCATTTCAAAGTGACTGCTATGTACATAAGTCAACGTAAGTTTATTAAATACCAACTACATGCCTAGCCTTGTGTTAATCTTAGTAGTAGTGCTGCAACACAAAGTATAATTTATATTTGTTCTCATGCCTGAAGCCTTAAGAGAGAGGCTGTATATTTATTAAAAAGTGATGCTATCTCAAACTCTCTAAAGCATCTGAATATAAAACAGATGATTGATTAAATGCCTTGAAAGCTGCAGAATTTTTGAGAAGTGTCGGTTCATATCCTTTGCCCACTTTTTGATGGGGTTGTTTGTTTTTTTCTTGTAAACTTGTTTGAGTTCATTGTAGATTCTGGATATTAGCCCTTTGTCGGATGAGTAGGTTGCAAAAATTTTCTCCCATTTTGTAGGTTGCCTGTTCACTCTGATGGTAGTGTCTTTTGCTGTGCAGAAGCTCTTTAGTTTAATGAGATCCCATTTGTCAATTTTGGCTTTTGTTGCCATTGCTTTTGGTGTTTTAGACATGAAGTCCTTGCCCATGCCTATGTCCTAAATGGTATTGCCTAGGTTTTCTTCTAGGGTTTTTATGGTTTTAGGTCAAACATTTAAGTCTTTAATCCATCTTGAATTAATTTTTGTATAAGGTGTAAGGAAGGGATCCAGTTTCAGCTTTCTACATATGGCTAGCCAGTTTTCCCAGCACCATTTACTAAATAGGGAATCTTTTCCCCATTGCTTGTTTTTCTCAGGTTTGTCAAAGATCAGATAGTTGTAGATATGCAGCATTATTTCTGGGGGCTCTGTTCTGTTCCATTGATCTATATCTCTGTTTTGGTACCAGTACCATGCTGTTTTGGTTACTGTAGCCTTGTAGTATAGTTTGAAGTCAGGTAGCGTGATGCCTCCAGCTTTGTTCTTTTGGCTTAGGATTGACTTGGAGATACGGGCTCTTTTTTGGTTCCATATGAACTTTAAAGTAGTTTTTTCCAATTCTGTGAAGAAAGTCATTGGTAGCTTGATAAGGATGGCATTGAATCTATAAATTACCTTGGGCAGTATGACCATTTTCACGATATTGATTCTTCCTATCCATGAGCATGGAATGTTCTTCCATTTGTTTGTATCCTGTTTTATTTCACTGAGCAGTGGTTTGTAGTTCTCCTTGAAGAGGTCCTTCACGTCCCTTGTAAGTTGGATTCCTAAGTATTTTATTCTCTTTGAAGCAATTGTGAATGGGAGTTCACTCATGATTTGACTCTCTGTTTGTCTGTTATTGGAGTGTAAGAATGCTTGTGATTTTTGTACATTGATTTTGTATCCTGAGACTTTGCTGAAGTTGCTTTTCAGCTTAAGGAGATTTTGGGCTGAGACAATGGGGTTTTCTAGATATACAATCATGTCATCTGCAAACAGGGACAATTTGACTTCCTCTTTTCCTAATTGAATACCCTTTATTTCCTTCTCCTGCCTAATTGCCCTGGCCAGAACTTCCAACACTATGTTGAATAGGAGTGGTGAGAGAGGACATCCCTGTCTTGTGCCAGTTTTCAAAGGGAATGCTTCCAGTTTTTGCCCATTCAGTATGATATTGGCTGTGGGTTTGTCATAGATAGCTCTTATTATTTTGAGATACGTCCCATACGTATCTAATTTATTGAGAGTTTATTTACCTAATTTATTGAGAGTTTTTAGCATGAAGGGTTGTTGAATTTTGTCAAAGACCTTTTCTACATCTATTGAGATAATCATGTGGTTTTTATCTTTGGTTCTGTTTATATGCTGGATTATATTTATTGATTTGTGTATGTTGAACCAGCCTTGCATCCCAGGGATGAAGCCCACTTGATCATGGTGGGTAAGCTTTTTGATGTGTTGCTGGGTTCGGTTTTCCAGTATTTTATTGAGGATTTTTGCATCAGTGTTCATGAAGGATATTGGTCTAAAATTCCCTTTTTTGGTTGTGTGTCTGCCAGACTTTGGTATCAGGATGATTCTGGCCTCATAAAATGAGTTAGGGAGGATTCCCTCTTTTTCTATTGATTGGAATAGTTTCAGAAGGAATGGCACCAGTTCCTCCTTGTACCTCTGGTAGAATTCGGCTGTGAATCCATCTGGTCCTGGACTCTTTTTGGTTGGTAAACTATTGATTATTGCCACAATTTCAGCTCCTGTTATTGGTCTATTCAGAGATTCAACTTCTTCCTGGTTTAGTCTTGGGAGAATGTATGTGTGAAGGAATTTATCCATTTCTTCTAGATTTTCTAGTTTATTTGTGTAGAGGTGTTTATAGTATTCTCTGATGGTAGTTTGTGTTTCTGTGGGATCGGTAGTGATATTCCCTTTATCATTTGTTATTGCATCTATTTGATTCTTCTCTCTTTTCTTATTAGTCTTGCCAGCAGTTTTGTTGATCCTTTAAAAAAACCAGCTCCTGGATTCATTAATTTTTTGAAGGGTTTTTTGTGTCTTTATTTCCTTCAGTTCTGCTCTGATTTTAGTTATTTCTTGCCTTCTGCTAGCTTTTGAATGTGTTTGCTCTTGCTTTTCTAGTTCTTTTAATTGTGATGTTAGGGTGTCAATTCTGGATCTTTCCTGCTTTCTCCTGTGGGCATTTAGTGCTATAAATTTCCCTCTACACACCGCTTTGAACATGTCCCAGAGATTCTGGTGTGTTGTGTCTTTGTTCTCATTGGTTTCAAAGAACATCTTTATTTCTGCCTTGATTTCATTGTGTACCCAGTAGTCATTCAGGAGCAGGTTGTTCAGTTTCCATGTAGTTGAGCAGTTTTGAGTGTGTTTCTTAATCCTGAGTTCTAGTTTGATTGCAGTGTGGTCTGAGAGACAGCTTGTTATAATTTCTATTCTTTTACATTTGCTGAGGAGAGCTTTGCTTCCAACTATGTGGTCAATTTTGGAATAGGTGTGGTGTGGTGCTGAAAAAATGTATATTCTTTTGATTTGGGTTGGAGAGTTCTGTAGATGTCTATGAGGTCCGCTTGGTGCAGAGCTGAGTTCAATTCCTGGGTATCCTTGTTAACTTTCTGTCTCATTGATCTGTCTAATGTTGACAGTGGGGTGTTAAAGTCTCCCATTATTATTGTGTGGGAGTCTAAGTCTCTTTGTAGGTCACTCAGGACTTGCTTTATGAATCTGGGTGCTCCTGTATTGGGTGCATAAATATTTAGGATAGTTAGCTCTTCTTGTTGAATTGATCCCTTTAGCATTATGTAATGGCCTTCTTTGTCTCTTTTGATCTTTGTTGGTTTAAAGTCTGTTTTATCAGAGACTGGATTGCAACCCCTGCCGTTTTTTGTTTTCCATTTGCTTGGTAGATCTTCCTCCATTCTTTTATTTTGAGCCTATGTGTGTCTCTGCACGTGAGATGGGTTTCCTGAATACAGCACACTGATGGGTCTTGACTCTTTATCCAATTTGCCAGTCTGTGACATTTATGCAGCCAAAAGACACATGAAAAAATGCTCATCATCACTGGCCATCAGAGAAATGCAAATCAAAACCACAATGAGATACCATCTCACACCAGTTAGAATGGCAATCATTAAAAAGTCAGGAAGCAACAGGTGCTGGAGAGGATGTGGAGAAATAGGAACACTTTTACACTGTTGGTGGGACTGTAAACTAGTTCATCCATTGTGGAAGTCAGTGTGGCGATTCCTCAGGGATCTAGAACTAGAAATACCATTTGACCCAGCCATCCCATTACTGGGTATATACCCAAAGGACTATAAATCATGCTGCTATAAAGACACATGCACACATATGTTTATTGCAGCACTATTCACAATAGCAAAGACTTGGAACCAACCCAAATATCCAACAATGATAGACTGGATTAAGAAAATGTGGCACATACACACCATGGAATACTATGCAGCCATAAAAAATGATGAGTTCAGGGACATGGATGAAATTGGAAATCATCATTCTCAGGAAACTATCGCAAGGACAAAAAACCAAACACTGCATGTTCTCACTCATAGATGGGAATTGAATAATGAGAACACATGGACACAGGAAGGGGAACATCACCCTCTGGGGACTGTTGTGGGGTGGGGGGAGGGGGGATAGCATTAGGACATATACCTAATGCTAAATGACGAGTTAATGCATGCAGCACACCAAAATGGCACATGTATACATATGTAACTAACCTGCACATTGTGCATATGTACCCTAAAACTTAAAGAACAATAATAATAATAAAAAAGAAAGCTGCAGAATTTTTATAGTTTCAGGTCTTAGATTTAAGACTTTGATCCATCTTGACTTGATTTTGTATTAAGGTGATAGATGAGGATCCAATTTAATTCTTGTACATGTGGTTTGCCAATTGTGTTAGCACCATTTGTTGAATATGGAGTTTCCCCAGTTTGTGTTTTTGTTTGCTTTGTCAAAGATCAGCTGGCTTTAAATACTTGGCTTTATTTCTGGGTTCTCTATTTTGTTTCACTGGTCTACATACCCATTTTCATACCAGTACCATGCTGTTTTGGTAACTATAGCCTTGTAGTATAGTTTGAAGTTGAGTAATATGATGCCTCCAGATTTGTTCTTTCTGCTTAGTGTTGCTTTGGCTATGCAGGCTCATTTTTGGTTTCATATATATTTTAGGACTGCTTTTTCTAGTTCTGTAAATAATGATGATGGTATTTTTGATGAGAATTGCATTGAATCTGTAGATTGCCTTGGGCAGTATGGTCATTTTCACAATATTGATTCTACCCATCTATGAGCATGGGATGTGTTTCCATTTGTTTGTGTCAACAACTTCTTTCAGCAGTGTTTTGTAGTTTACTTTGTAGAGAACTTTCACTGCCTTGGTTAGGTATCTTTTTAAGTATTCTACTGTTTTTGCAGCAAAGGGATTGAGTTCTGTATTTTACTCTCAGCTTTGTCGTTGTTGTTGTATACCAGTGTTACTGATTTGTGTATATTGATTTTGCATCTTGAAACTTTACTGAATATATTTATCAGATCTAGGAGCTTTTTGGATGAGTCTTTAGGGTTATATAGATATACAAATATATCATTGGTGAACAGCAATTCTTTTACTTCCTCTTTATAAGTTTGGATGCCCTTTATTTCTTTCTCTTTTCTGATTGCTCTGGCTAGGACTTTCAGAACTATGTTGAATAGAAGTGGTGAAAATGGGCTTCCTTGTCTTGTTCCAGTTCTTATGGGAGTGTATTCAGCTTTTCCCCATTTAGTATAATGTTGGCTATGGGTTTTTCATAGATGGCTTTAATTACCTTAAAGTATGGACCTTCTATGCCAATTTTCCTGAGGGTTTTAATCATAAATTTAAAAATACAATGGATGCTAGGATTATAAACGAAGAGTAATCTATCAAAAAAATATTTTTTTAATCTTGGCATTGTTGGTTCAAACAGCATATCTGCTATTAAGAAGATTTGAAACAAGTTAAAGCATGCTGGATAGAGCAGCAATTACTGAGAGGGCCTTCATTTCCCTCCCAAGCTTAAAGTTTCCTAGTCAGTTAATGCTTTCTGTTCACTGAGCATGGACTAAAACTGTCCAGCATGTCATTACTATACTATATATGATCATTTCTTTTTGGGGGGCTGGGCTTTAACACTAAACTTTGATTTCCCCCAATTCATATAGTGATAGTTATCACAACTGTGAATATAAATCGGGTTTTCTATAGCCCAGTTTTATGTTGCTTCCCTATCTATAATTTATGTTATGTCAAAAAAAAAAAAAGAAGAAACAATTATTGTCCCCTTTAATGTAGGTAATGTCTTTAAAATTGTAGCGAAATCATGGTTTACTTTTATTTTTAAAATTTATTTATTTATTATTATTTTTTATTTATTTCTTCTAAAAAAATGGGATACATGTGCAGAACGTGCAAGTTTGTTACATAGGTATACATTTGCCATGGTGTTTTGCTGCACCTAGTGACCCATCCTTTAAGTTCCCTCCCCTCCCTTCCCAACCCCCCAACAGGCCCTGGTGTGTATTGTTTCCCTCTCTGTATCCATGTGTTCTCAATGTTCAACTCCCACTTATGAGTGAGAATAGGCCGTATTTAGTTTTCTGTTCCTGTGTTAGTTTGCTGAGGGTGACAGTTTCCAGTTTCATCCATGTCCCTGCAAAGGACACAATCCCATTCCTTTTTTTGGCTGCATAGCATTCCATGGTGTACATGTACCACATTTTCTTTATTGAGCCTATTATTGATGGAAATGTGGGTTGGTTCCATGTCTTTGCTATTGTAAATAGTGCTGCAATAAACATACATGTGCATGTGTCTTTACAGTAGAATGATTTCTATTCCTTTGGGTCAAATGGTATTTCTGGTTCTAGATCCTTGAAGAAGCGCCATACTGTCTTCCTCAATGATTGAAGTAATTTACATTCCCACCAACAGTGTAAAAGCATTCCTATTTCTCCACAGCTTCACCAGCATCCATTGTTTCCTGACTTTTTAGTAATTGCCATTCTGACTGGTGTTAGATGTTATGTCATTGTGGTTCTGATTTACATTTCTCTTATGATCAATCATGTTGAGCTTTTATTCATGTTTGTTGGCCATGTAAATGTCTTCTTTTGAGAAATGTCTGTTCATGTCCTTTGCCCACTTTTTGATGGGGTTATTTGTTTTTTCTTGTAAATATGTTTAAGTTTCTTGTAAATTTTGGATATTATACATTCTCAGATGAGTAGATTGCAAAAATGTTCTCCCCTTCTGTAGGTTGCCTGTTCACTCTGGTGACAGTTTGTTTTGCTGTGCAGAAGCTCTTTAGTTTAATTAGATCCCATTTGTCAATTTTGGCTTTTGTTGCCCATGCTTTCAACATTTTTTGTCATGAAGTCTTTGCCAATGCCTATGACCTGAGTGTTATTGCCTAGGTTTTCTTCTATGGTTTTTATGGTTTTGGATTTTACATTTAAGTCTTTAATTCATTTTGAGTTAATTTTTTGTATAAGGTGTAAGGAATGGGCCCAGTTTCTTTTTTCTGCATATGGCTAGCCAGTTTTCCCAGCACTATTTACTGAATGGGAAATCCTTTCCCCATTGCTTGTTTTTGTCAGGCTTGTCAAAGATCAGATGGTTGTAGATGTGTGATATTAGTTCTGAGGTCTCTGTTCTGCTCCATTGGTCTGTATGTCTGCTTTGTTAGCAGTGCCATGCTGTTTTGGTTACTGTAGCCTTATAATATAGTTTGAATTCAGGTAGCATGATGCCTCCAGCTTTGCTTTTTGCTTAGGATTTTCTTGGCTATATAGGGTCTTCTTTGATTCCATATGAAATTTATAATTTTTTTGAATTCTCTGAAGAATGTCAATGATAATTTGATGAGTATAGCACTTATTATAAAATGACCACATAATTGGAAGTAAAACACTCCTTAGCAAATGCAAAAGAACTGAAATCATAACAAACAGTCTCTCAGACCACAGTGCAATCAAATTAGAACTCAGGATTAAGAAACTCACTCAAAACTACACAATTTCATGGAAATCGAACAACCAGTTCCTGAATGACTCCTAGGTAAATAATGGAATTAATGCAGAAATCAGGAAGTTCTTTGAAACCAATGAGAACAAAGATACAATGTACCAGAATCTCTGGGACACAGATAAAGCAGTGTTAAGAGGGTAATCTATAGCACTAAACGCCTACATCAGAAAGCTAGAAGGATCTCAAATCAATACCCTAACATCACAATTAAAAGAGCTAGAGAGGCAAGAGCAAACTAATCCAAAAGTTAGCAGAAGAAAAGAACTAACTAAGATCAAAGAAGAATTGAAGGAGATACAGACACACAAAAAAAAACTTCAAAAAACAAATGAAATCATAAGCTAGTTTTTTTTAAAAAATTTACAAAATAGACCACTAGCTAGACTAATAAAGAAGAGAGAGAAGGATCAAATAAACACAATAAAAAATGATGAAGGGGCTATCACCACTGACCCCACAGAAATATAGACTACCATCAGAGAATACTACAAACACCTCTATGGAAATAAACTGAAAAAATCTAGAAGAAATGGAGAAATTCCTGGACACACACATACTACCAAGACTAAACCAGGGAGAAGTTGAATCCCTGAATAGACCAATAACAAGCTCTGAAATTGAGGCCGTAATTCATAGGCTACCAACCAAAAAAAGACCAAGACCAGACATATTCACAGCTGAATTTTACCAGAAACACAAAGAGGAGCTGGTACCATTCTTTATGAAGCTACTCCAAACAATTGAAAAGGAGGGTATCCTCCCTAAATCACTTTTTGAAGCCAGCATCATCCTGACACCAAAATCGGGAAGAGACACAATGACAAAAAAGAAAAATTCAGGCCAATATCCCGGATGAACATCGATGTGAAAACCCCCAATAAAATAATGGCAAACCAAATCTAGCAGCACATCAAAAAAACTTATCTACCACCATCAAGTTGGCTTCATTCCTGCGATGCAAAGCTGGTTCAACATATGCTAATCAATAAACATGATCCATCACATAAACAGAACTAAAGACAAAAACCACATGATTATCTTAATAGATGCAGAAAAGTCCTTTGGTAAAATTCAACATCCCTTCATGTTAAAAACTCTCAATAAACTAGGTATTGATGGAACATATTTCAAAATAATAACGGCTATTTATGACAAATCCACAGTCAATATCATATTGAATGGGCAACAGCTGGAAGCATTACCTTTGAAAACCAGTACAAGACAAGGATGCCCTCTCTCATCGTGCCTATTCAATATAGTATTGAAAGTTCTGGCCAGGCCAATCAGGCACGAGAAATAAATAAAGGATATTCAAATAGGAAGAGAGGAAGTCAAGTTGTCTGTTTGCAGGGGACATTATTTTATATTCAGAAAACCCCATCATCTCAGCCCAAAAACTTTTTGAACTGATAAGCAACTGCAGCAAAGTCTCGGGATATAAAATCAATTTGCAAAAATCACAAGCATTCCTGTACAGCAACAATAGACAAGCAGAGAGCCAAATCATGAATGAACTCCCATTCACAATCACTAAAAAGAGAATAAAATACCTAGGAATACAGCTAACAAGGGACGTGAAGGAACTCTTCAAGAAGAACTACAAACCACTGCTCAAAGAAATAAGATAGAATGCAAAATTTTTATTTTATTTTATTTTATATTTTGGCACAGTCTCAGTCTGTCACACAAATTGGAGTGCAGCAGTGCAATCTCAGCTCACTACAACCTTAACCTCCCTGGTTCAAGCCATTCTCTTGCCTCAGCCTCCCGAGTAGCTGAGATTATAGGCACCACCACCACACGCAGCTAATTTTTGTGTTTTTAGTAAAGACAAGGTTTCACCCTGTTGGCCAGGCTGGTCTCAAACACCTGACCTCAAGTGATCCACCTGCCTCGGCCTCCCAAAGTGCTGAGGTTACAGGAATGAGCCACTGCAGCTAGACTAACTTTACATCTTATTAAATTTTCCGCTTTGAAAACCTGGAGTCCTAAAATAAACTGATTATTTTCATCCAATATTTATTTTGCTTGTTCTAATTCACAGTGAATAAATGTATGGAAACTAATGTTATTAGAGTGAATGTATATATCCTCATAATTTGTCCCCATAACAGTTTAAGAGATGGTTTATTTACTGGCTGTTTATCTACAGAGATTGCAGATTCTATTTTCTTCATAGCCTCTACATCCTATATTCTATAGTTTCACATACCAGAGTTGTTAAATTACTTGAATTGAGTGTTCCTGATTAAACTGTTAACAAGAACTGAGCTAACATAATTCACTGAGAACATTCCAGAGTCAAGTCTAGAACAAAGAAAAATAACAACATGCAACAATTCACTTAGTTTGGTTTTAAAACTTTGTCCTCGAAAATGAGCCTAGTCTAAAACCCAAGATGTAAGTATCTTTATCCAAAATGTTATTTTGTGTCCTGGGCACCAAAAAAGAGGGCCACATGATTTTCCCCTATTAAATATTTATGTTTTTCTCATAATTCTGTTAGGGAAAATTGATGTACAATTCCATTAGAAGTCAACTAATGAAGAAAATTCAATTCAATTGAACACTGTAAAAAAGTTAAATATTAATTTATATTGAAGACTCTTAAATTTTGATACCTTTTCCTTGCTTCCTCTGTGAAACTTGCTTATATTTCTTTTCTTTTAATTCTGTCATATCTATTCTATTTTTGAGAAAGAAAAAAACGTTGTCTACAGTGTTTTACCTTCAGATTGATTCAAGACAGTAGGCCATCTCATACCTCCTTCAGGTTTTGTTGTTGTTGTTACTAGTGGTAATATCAGACAATCCCTTGAAAGGGGATGCTTGTTATGTCACTTCAAGATATGGTAGGGAGCATGTCCAAGAGGGCTGATAGTGAAGATGACCACTGCTAAAGGTAAGAATTAAACAAAGCCTCCATAATTTGACATAATTATGGGTTACCAAACTTTTGAAAAATCTTAGAAATTTGTCTTGCCAATTTGGCTTTACTGCAATCAGTTTCTTTTATTTGAGGTACAATGTACTTAAAACTCACACATTAAAAGGATGTAAAACAGGCAAAGGAAGATAGCATTTAACTGCTATTCATCTAAAATATATATTCCTATGTACAGAGAGCCTGGACAGTGTCAAATGAAACAAGCAATTAGTCTCTTTCTAACAGTAAGCAGTTCAAACTGTAACATCATGCCAGCCGTGATTAAGAATGATACAGCACATCATCATTGTCAACACTATTCAGCCAATGTAAACGTTAGTTAGAAATGCACTTGTCAGAGAAAAATGTGCCTTTGATTTCTATTACGCTTTCCCAGTAATTGCTGTCATCAGTGGCAGGTTATTATTACAGTTGAATAGAGTTTCAGTAATTACTTTTGCACAGATTCTAACAGCTTTTAGATTGAAGGATATTCTGACAATTTGAATACTCTTGACAACAATTACCTTTTTCCTGGTTAACACTGATTCAGTAAAATTAAAAATTAATTCTGTTCACAGGAAACATTTATGTATGTCACTGGCAAGTGGACTGATATTAAAAAATGTGTAAATTGAACAATGACTTAGAATTTTTAAAGTTTCTTTTCTCTTAAGTATTTTTGAAAATCGGCATTAAAAGAGATGCAGACTATGTTGCTTAGATTAATATTAAATGATGTGGAATGATTGAAAGAAGTCCTCAATTCAATTACTACCAAAAAATGTAATGTACTGTTATGCAGGAAGAAAATGTGTGTATTGGAAGAGCATAAGCATAATTATGAATATATGCATGCCTGTTTTTACCTAATGCATATGGCTATAAATGACTTTGGTAAATGGAGAGCAAAGTACATATATATTCCTGCATATTTTGCAGAGTAAAAATATGTTTCTATGAGGTTTGCATTTTATGACATAAAAATTGTCTGCTTATACCAAGTCAAGGGGAGAATTGATGGAATTATACAGAACATTTAGGATTAAACCGCTTTGATTTAAGACTTTGAAAAATTCAGATAATGAAGACCATAAGACTAGTTTTATAGTCACATATTTAAGGACGTCCAAGCTATAGTTATATTTGAAATATTCTTAACATATTAACTAATGGAAGTAAATATCACTGAGCTGCCACTTGTAAATAAAGACAAGAAATAAAGAGTAAATAATAGTTTACAAAAGCCTTCTAAAATAAATGTAATTTAAAATACTGGTTTCAAAGCCAGAATAAAGTATTATATATAGAAAGTATTAATAACCAAATTTCTTTGTATATAACATAAATAAAAAATAAAAATGAAGTAAAAAAATAAAGTACAACATAAATGTTACCAAAGAATAAAAAAAGCTATACCAAAATACAGGGGAAAAATGAAGGGAGCAAAATATTGAATAGGAAAAATATAGTTTGCTATGTTATAAAATCACTTTCAATAGATTTTTAAAAAATTACATGTTCTTTCTAAAATAACAATAGAAAGAAAACTAAAATTAAATGCCATCAAACTCTATAGTATACACAAAGCTACATTTATCTCATTAAATGGATTGTATGTGTGGAGGGCATATTATGTTCCATGTGATATTGATTTAATCATCTTTTCTATTAAGCAGAATAAAAATAGCCAACCTATATTGAAAACTCCAGTTTAACTGCTGTTAATTATTTTTTAGAATTATAGATAATATTTTCAAATGAAATAACTATATCAACAAAAACATCAGATTCACCTAATGGTATCAATCATCAAAGTCTCCTCTTGATTAATAATTTCAAGACCACTAATAGATTATTCAAAAGTTTTATTATTTTACACATAAGAAATAGCCCTACTATCAAAATACTTTATCTTCCTCAGTGTCTTCTTAAATGACTTAATTTTTCATCAACAATTGTCCTGCTTGTCTATTATAGAAATGTATCTGTAAACATGTGCCAGCTAACTTTTACTATAGTTCTTCAGGAAAATTTAGCTAGGAATGAAACTTATCTCTATGCTGGTATAAAATTCAAGCAGATTTACTATTTTTAAGTGCTTTATGCTAGAACATTTCAGAGTTTGTTTTATATTATGGGTTACAGGTAAAATAATTTTATATCTGAGGTGACATGGAGGGGTACACTGAAGTGATGAGTACTTCGACATAAGCCAAATGGTGTGTATATTTGAGTTGAAGGTTTCTCAAGGCCTAAAGTTTGGAAAACAACCACAGGAGAGATTTCAGGTCCTTGGTTGGTTACAGTACATTCTAAAAACAAAGCAGTTAAGTTTCCAGAAAATGATTGGCATTCAGGGTTGGGACAGGGACAGGATGCTGGGAAAAATACTATGAATGGCCACTGACAAGATATGTATTAACTACTGTAAAGGACAAAGGATAATAGTGTCCACTGAAGGGGATTTTCATGTTAAAGAAAATGATTCACAGTTGTGAAATGGTTCAAACACGGTATTCTGGGAAGGCATTATTAGTTTCTCATAGAGAAGTAAGTTAGAAGATGTCCTGGACCATGCCTAGACCATGTAAATCCATGAGTATCAGAAGTAGTTTGTGAGAAGAGCATAGGGTTGATTACATTCATTCTGGCCTGAAATAAAAGCTTATTGTAGGATAAGTGGTTCTTAGGCAAACACAAATAATCTGTTTATTTTTTTTTATTGTGGTCACAGGGTAGTTGTCAAAATACCATCAATGTAGAGTTATTCATTTTGTGTAGACATGCTTTTTCTCATATAGAGATCAAATAACTAGACTTTGGATGTCATCTTTGGTTGCTACTATGTGAATCCAAACATCTGGATAAAAACTGAACTTTTTGGTCAGGCTTCCAGCTATTTCCAGCTGTTTGACATTGGGTAGCCTTACATCTGGGCATGTGGTTACAATTTTTCCATTTTCCTGTTTCTCTGGATATTTGCATAATGTAGATGTGGCCTATGATTAGAAAAAAACTATCTAAATAATATATGCGTTTAAATAAACAGATCTTTGTTTTTAAATAAACTTAGCAGAAATACCTACTTTTACGTGTGACTATTCAGTTCTCACCTTGAATAATTTTTTCACAATATGTATTCACAAATACTTGTAATTTTATTTGTCAATTAATAATACATAAATGAAATGTTTTCTTTTACTAGAAATTAGTTACCTAATTTACATTATATATAGGTTAGAAACACAGTATGCCATCTAAAAATATTGTATATTAATAAGCCTCTGGCTATTAAAAGGACGCAGAGAATAAAGCATTAGGAAAGCAAAGCATAAAGTTCAGAATATAAGCCCAAAGACGGTCCTTGGATTTTTTTTTCTTTTTTTTTTTTTTGAGACGGAGTTTCACTCTTGTTGCCCAGGCTGGAGTGCAATGGCGCGATCTCATCTCACTGCAACCTCTGCCTCCCAAGTTCCAGAAATTCTCCTGCCTCAGCCTCCCAAGTAGCTGGGATTTCAGGCATGTGGCATCATGCCCAGCTAATTTTTTGTATTTTTAGTAGAGACGGGGTTTCACCATGTTGGCCAGGCTGGTTTCGAACTCCTGACCTCAGGTGATCCACCCGCCTCAGCCTCCCAAAGTACTGGGCTTACAGGCGTGCGCCACCTCACCCGGCCATTCCTTTGAAATTTTAAAAACAATGTTTATAGTTTAAAATGGAAACCAACAAATTTGAAAAGGTAAATTACAAATAATTTTATTAGGGATAGAATTACCCAAGGTTTCTGTGTTCTGCTTTATCATACGGCTGTCAACAGCTTGGCATAGATATCCTTCCAAAACTATTGAAGAGTCAAATAGGTTCACACACTTTAGTCTATAGTATGGATATAAAACAATTTATACAAAACTTTTTATATTGATAAATATTCCAGCTCTTTTTTCACCATGGATCTTTTTTCACTAATTATCTTCAATTTCTAGGATAGTGACAAATAGTAGGATTTTAACACATGTATTTGAATAAAGCAATAAATTAATGACTATAAAACAACTGATGTTTAAAGTCTG
Source organism: Homo sapiens (assembly GCF_000001405.40). Lineage (NCBI taxonomy): Eukaryota > Metazoa > Chordata > Mammalia > Primates > Hominidae > Homo > Homo sapiens. The sequence continues at coordinate 82,212,880 of NC_000023.11, forward strand.
TATGATGGATTCCACATACAGAGAGTTAAGGGTCAAAGCATATTTGTATTTATTTTCTTTTATTCTTTATTGAAAATTTAGTTTCTTTTAATAATTTATCAAATAATACATGAATAGCAAATAGCATTGTAAAAAGAGAGCGTACAGTCTCAGACTATACTGTCATCAATCCTAAAGTAAATATATATATATTTAATATATATAAAGTAAATATATATATTTCTATAATTTATATATATAAAGTAAATATATATATATATTTCTTTAATTTTTAAGGTCAGTGGTACATGTGCAGGTTTGTTATATGGGTAAACTTGTGTCATAGGTGTGTTTTGTACAGATTATTTTGTCACCCAGTATTAAACCTAGTAAGCCTAGTACTCATTAGTTACTTTTCCGGGTCCTCTCCCTCCTCCCTCTGGTAGGCCCCAGTGTCTGTTGTTCCCTTCTTTGTGTCCATGTGTTCTCCTAATTTAGCTCCCACTTATAAGTGAGAATATGAAGTGTTTGCTCTTCTGTTCCAGCTCCATCCATGTTCCTGCAAAGAACATGATCTTGTTCTTCATTGTAGCTGCATAGTATTCTGTGGTGTATACATACCCACATTTTCTTTATCCAGTTTCCCATTAATAGGCATTTAGGTTGATTCCGTGTCTTCGCTATTGTGAATGGTGCAGCAATGAACATACCTATGCATGTGTCTTTATAACAGAACTATTTATATTCCTTTGGGTATATGCACAGTATTGGTATTGTAGGGTCAAATGGTATTTCTGCTTCTAGATCTTTGAGGAATGGCCACACTGTATTTCACAATGGTTTCACTAATTTACATTCTCACCAACAGTGTAAAAGCATTCCTTTTTCCCTGCAACATTACAACCATCTGCTGTTTCTTCACTTTTTAATAATCGCCATTCTGAATGGTGTGAGATGGTATCTCATTGTGGTTTTGATTTGTATTTCTCTAATGATCAGTGTTGTTGAGCTTCTTTTTTTCCACATACTTGGCTTCATGGGTGTCTCCTCTTTAAAATGATTTTTTTCTTGTCCTTTGTTCAATTTTTAATGTTTATTTTTTTCTTGCTAATTTAAGTTCCTTATAGATGCTGGATATTAGACCTTTGTCAGATACATAGTTTGCAAATGTTTTCTCCAATTCTGAAGGTTGTTTGTTTACTCTGTTGATAGTTTTCTTTGCTCTGCAGAAGCTCTTTAGTTTAATTAGATCCCATTTGTCAATTTTTGCTTTTGTTGCAATTGCTTTTGGCTTCTTCGTGAAATCTTTCCTTGTTTCTATGCCCAAAAGATATTGCCTAGGTTGTCTTCCAGAGTTTCTATAGTGTTGGGGTTTACATTTAAGTCTTTAATCCATCTTTAATTAATTTTTCTATACACTGTAAGGGAGGGGTCCAGTTTCAATATTCTGCATATGGCTAACCAGTTTTCCAACACCATTTCTTGAATAGGGAGCCCTTTCCGCATTGCTTTTTTTTTGTCAGCTTTGGGAAAGATCAGATGGTTGTAGGTGTATGGCCCTATTTTGAGGCTCTCTATTCTGTTCCATTGGCCCGTGTATCTGTATTTGTGCTAGTACCGTGCTGTTTTGGTTACTGTAGCCTTGCAGCATAATTTGAAGTCAGGTAATGTGATACTTTCAGCTTCTTTCATTTTGCTTATTATTTCCTTGGCTATTCGAGCACTGTTTGTTGTTGTCCCATATGAATTTTGAAACTTTTTTTTGGTTTAGTTCTGTGAAAAATTTAATTGTTTGTTCAATAGGACTAGCATTGAATCTCTAAATTGCTTTGGGCAGTATGACCATTTTAATAATATTGATTCTTCCTATCCGTGAGCATGGAATGTTTTTCCACTTATTTGTGTCATCTCTGATTTTTTTTTTTTTTTTTTGAGCACTGTTTTGTAGTTTCCCTTGAATAGATCTTTCATTTCTCTGGTTTGTTGAATTTTTAGGAATTTTATTCTTTTTGGGGTGATTGTGAATTGAATTGCATTGCATATTTGGCTCTTGTCTTTAATGTTGTTGGTGTTTTGGAATGGTAATGATATTTGTACATGGATTTTGTATGCTGAGACTGTCCTGAAGTTGTTTTTATCAGCTTAAAGCAGCTTTTGGACTGAGACTATAGCGTTTTCTAGGTATAAAATCATCTTATGTGCAAAGAGAGCTACTTTGACTTCCTTTCCTTCTATTTGGATGTATTTTATTTCATTTTCTTACCTGATTGCTCAGGACAGGACTTCCAATACTATTTTGAATAGGAGGGGTGAGAGAGGGCATCCTTGTGCCAGTTTTCAATGACAATGCTTTCAGCTTTTGCCCATTCAGTATGATGTTAGCTGTGGGCTTGTCATGGATGACTCATTATTTTGAGATTTATTTCTTCAATACATAGTTTGTTGAGAGTTTTTAACATGGAGGATATTGAATTTTATCAAAAACCTTCTGTTAATCTATTGAGATAATCATGTGATTTTTGTCCTTAGTTCTGTTTATGTGAAGAATCACATTTATTGATTTGCATAAGTTGAACCAACCTTGCATACCAGGAATAAAGCCTACTTTATCATGGTGAATAAACTTTTTGAAGTGCTACTGGATTTGGTTAGCCAGTTTTTTGTTGAGGATTTTTGCATTGACATTCATTCAGGATATTTGCCTAACATTTTCTTTTTGTTGTTGTTGTTGTATCTTTCCAAGGTTTTGGTATCAAGATGATGCTGCCTCATAGAATAAATTAGGGAAGAATTTCTTTTTCTCAATTACTTGAAATGGTTTCTGTAGAAATTTTATCAACTTTTCTTTGTACATCTAGTACAATATGGCCATAAATTTATCTGGTCCTGGGCTTTTATTTGGTTGTTAGTCTACTTATTACTGATTCAATTTTGGAGCTTGTTATTGGACTGTTCAAGAATTCAATTTATTTTTGCTTCAGTCTTGGGAAGTTGTACGTACCCAGGAATTTATCCATTTCTTCTAAATTGTCTAGTTTGTGTGAATAGAGGTGTTCATAATATTCTGGGATGTTTACTTGTATTCCCTTAGCATCAGTGGTAGCATCCCCCTTGATGTTTCTAATTGTGTTTATTTGAATGTTCTCTCTTCCCTTCTTTATTTTTCTATCTGGTGGTCTATCTATTTAATTAAATTTTTCAGAAAACCAATTCCTGGATTTGTTGATCTTTTAAATGTTTTTTTGTTGTTGTTGTTTGTTTGTTTGTTTTTTAGTTTCCTTTAGTTTAGTTCTGATTTGGGTTATTTCTTGTCTTCTGCTAGCTTTGGAGTTGGTTTGCTCTTGGTTCTTTAGTTCTTTTAGATGTTATATTAGGTTGTAAACCTGAAAACTCTCATACTTTTCTATGTGGGTGTTTAGTGCTGTAATTTTTCCTCTTAACACTGACTTAGCTATGTTCCAGAGATTCTGGGTTCTTGCGTCTTTGTTCTCATTTGTTTCAAATAACTTCTTGATTCCTCCCTTAATTTCATTTCTTACCCAAAGTTATTCACGAGCAGGTTGTTTAATTTTCATGTAATTGTATGGCTTTGAGCAATATTTTTAGCCTTGATTTCTAATTTTATTTTGCTGTAGTCTGAGAGTGGTTGGTTTGATATTAGTTCTTTTGCATTTGCTAATTGTTTGACGTCCTATTGTGATTTCCAATTTAGAGTTCCATTTAGAGTTTAGAGTAGCCGTTACTACTAGATGTGTTCAGACAGGGGTTGATATGTGCCAGGTGGCAATGAGGAGAATGTATATTCTGCTTTCTGGGGCTGGCAAATTCTCTAGAAATCTATCAGGTCCATTTGATCCAGTGTTTATTTTAGGTCCTGAATATATTTGTAAGTTTTATGCCTCAATGATTTATCTAGTACTTTTAGTGGGGTACTGAAGTCTTCCACTATTATTGTGTAGGAGTCTAATTCACCTTGTAGGTCTCTACGAACTTGCTCTATGAATCTAGGTGCTCCTGGGATAGATGCATATATATTTAGAATAGTTAGGTCTTCTTTTTGAATTTAAAATATTACCATCATATAATGCTCTCCCTTGTCTTTCTTGATCCCTGTTGGCTTAATTTTGGTCGAACATTTGTATTGTCTGAAATTAGGATTGCAACTTCTGCTTTTCTCTTTTCCACTTGCTTGGCAGATTTTTCTTCATTCTTCTATTTTGAACCTATGTGTGTCTGTACGTGAGATTAAAGACAGCATATGATTGGGTCTTGCTTGTTTATCCAGCTTGTCACTCTGTGCCTTTTAATTGGGGCATTTAGACCATTTACACTATAGGTTAATATTGATATGTGTGGATTTGATTCTGTCATCGTGTTGTTAGCTGGTTATTATGTGAACTTGTTTGTGTGATTGCTTTAAGGTGTCACCGGCCTGTGTACTTAACTGTGTTCTTGTAGTGCCTTGTAAAAATCTTTCCTTTCCATATTTAGTGTTCCTTTCCGAAGTTCTTGTAAGAAAGGTCTGCTAGTAACAGGCATTTGCTTGTCTGAAAATAGTTTTATTTCTTCTTTACTTATAAGTCTTAGTTCGGCTGGATATGAAATTCTTGGTTGGAGATCTTTTTTTTCTTTAAGAATGTTGAATATAGGCCCCCCAATCTCTTCTGGATTGTAGGGTTTCTGTTGAAAGGTCTGCTGTTAGCCTGATGGGGTTCCCTTTTGCAGGTGGCTTGCTTTTTCTCTCTAGCTGTCATTTACAATTTTTCTTTCATTTTGACCTTCGGACATCTAATGATTATTTGTCTTGGGAAGATCTTGTTGTGTAGTATCTCACAGAGGTTCTCTGCATTTTCTTAATTTGAATGTTGGCCTCTCTAGCGAGGTTGAGAAAGTTTTCATGAAAGATATCCTGAAATAAGTTTTTAACATTGCTTACCTTCTCCCTGTCTCTTTCAGGTATGCCAGTGATTTGTAGATTTGGTCCATTTACATAATCCCATATTTCTCGAGTTTTTTTTTTTCATTTGGTTTCATTAAAAAAAAAAACCTTTGTCTGCCTCTCTTATTTCAGAGAGGCAGTCTTCAAATTCTGAGATTCTTTTTTTGGCTTGGTCTATTCTTCTGTTAATACTTGTGATAGCGTTATGAAATTCTTGTAGTTCTTTTTTTTTTAGCTCTATGAGATCAGTTAGTATCTTCTTTATGCTGGCTATTTTGTATATCAGCTACAGTATCATCTTCTTGTAATTCTTAGATTCCTTGCATTGACTGAGTTTTGATGTTCTCGTGAATCTCAATGATCTTCATTCATATCCATATTCTGAGTTCTGTTTATTTCATCACAGACATCTCATCCTTATTAAGAACTCTTGCTGGAAAATTAGAATGGTCACTTCAAGGACAGAAAACTCGAAGACTCTGGCCATTTGACTTGTCAGATTTATTTTGCTGGTTCTTTCTTATGTCTCTGTATGAGTGTTCTTTTAACTGCAGTGTAGATTGACTACATTCAGCAAAATTCTTTTCCCAATGTTTCCAGAGAGCAAACACTTTGCACAGGGTTTTGATTTGAAGCTAACTTGTTATCTTTGATTTCACAGGGTAGTACTTAAGCAAAGTATTTTTGTTGTTAAACATTTCAGATATGATCCAGTAGGTGGCGCTTAAGCATAATTGTCAGTAGGTAGGCTCTTGCTCAATCATGTGACTTCTCTGTAGTTCCTCACAGTTACAGCTGTGCTTTCTTTCAATGCTCTGAAAGTGTGGGCTTCTCTCTCACTTGAATGCTGGCTGCAGATCACGACTTGGCAAACCCAGGCTGCACACCACAGCTCTGGGTTGATCTCAGAGTTCATCTTACCTCCTCAACTTGGAGGCAATAGAGGAAGAGACCTCTAGGAAAAGATCCTCTGACAGTAAATGTGCCCGAGGGTCTTTCACTTTTCTTCTGGAGCTACACTCCAGAGAGACGTAGAGCTGCAATTAATCAGTGTGGTCATCCCAGAAGGAAGGGGTTGCACTGCGGGTCCAAGCCAGGGAATCCCTGCCTGGCAATGAGCAGGGGTGGTAGATGGGACCTGTGGGAGACAGACTGGCCTCCTTTACTTAAGGTAATTGCAGCTTGCTGGACGTGTTAATAAGGCACTTAGGGTCTTTGCACTTTCCTCAGTTTGAGGGGAGCAGGGGCAGTATCACTGCAGAGGCAGTGGCAGATGGGCTTTCAGTTGCCACTGGGAACTCCACCTCCAAGAAACATGAAGCCGTTACTACTGGGAGTGTTCAACCAGGGGGTGGTGTGGCTGCACTGCTGGCCTGAGCTGAGGGTTCTGGTTGTTGTGGAGCAAGTGGTCAAGGGCTCACAGGTAGGAGAGACAGGTCTCTTCTTAATGTGGTGATTGTGGCATGCTGTAAGCTTGGGTGTAGCCCTCAGGCTCTTTATTTCTTCCTCAGAGCAAAGGCAGCAGGGGCAGAACCACTGATGTGGCAATGGCAGAGGAGCTGTTGGTTGCCTCTGGGAGCCTCTCCCCAGGGAATTTCAGAACCACAACAAGTGGGCTTTCTCAGCCATGAGTTTGGTGGCTGTTCTGCAGTCCTGAGCTGGGGTCCCTGCCTGGTGAAGAGTGGGGGATGGGAGTTCCCAGAGTAGAGGGACTGGAGTTCTCTGTATATGTTGGCTGCTGTGCACTTGGGGTGCCAGCATAGCGACAAGGCCCTTTGTTCCTTCCCCTGCCTGTGGGAGCTTAAAAAGGTACCACTGCAGCTGCAATGCTGGAGGAGTTGTGGGTTGATTCTGGGATCTTCTCTTCGGAGAAAAGCTGAGCGCATTTGATTAAAGTGATCAGGTAGGAGCAAAGTGGTTATCCTGGAGTCACAGTTCATGCAGCCCCTCCCAATGAGGAAAAGTAATGTCTGAGACCTGTATGGAAGACAGGCCAGCCACTTTTCCATTAAGCAGCTGCACTGTTCTAGGGGTAGGCACCAGCCCCTTATTCTCACAGACTCTCCAGAGTCTGAAGGCAGCTAAAGCAAGGGCTGCAAGAAAGCAAAGATGACACCCCACCTCTCTCTCTGGAAGCTCTGTCCCAGGGAGGTGTGGAGCTGCTAGGGGCCTGATATTTCCAACTGGTAGTGGGTAGAGCTTCTGGTTGGGACCTCCTGCTGAATGAAGAAAAATGGGATCTGGGACCTGCATAATAAACAGTCTGGCCATTTCTCTGCAGAGTGGCAGTGCTATGCTGGGGATCTGCTCCAGTACTTAGTCACCTTGGACTTTCTAGAGCCTTAAGGCAGTAGCAGCAAAGGCTGCAAAATAGCAAATATGCTAGCCCAACCTTTCCCCTGAGAGTTTCATTTCAAGGAGTTGTGTAGCTGCTGCCAGCTCAAGAGCACTGACTGTGGGTGGCTGGAGTCCCAGGCCGGTGGGTCTTTTCCTGAAAGTTTCCATGAAAGTAAAGCCTGCTTGTCACTGTTGCTCAGCCCCGTGGATTCAGCCCCTTTCCTCGGGCATGTAAGGGATGCTAACCTGCCCCTTTGCTGGAGATGCAGCTGCTATTGCCACAATGCCCAGGGATCCAAGGCTCCCAGGACTCAACGTGTGCCTGAGTGATGGCTCTGCCAAGACTCCACTTAGCTCTGCATGTCAGACTGAAGGCCCTGGTGGAGCAGGTTCACAAGAGGCTTTCCTGACACCAGGGTTGCAAGGATTCGTGGAAGAAATGTAGGCCCTTGGGGTTTCTCACTCACTGTTTCCCTGGGCAGGAAAGCCTCCCCTGTCTCCATGTTACTCCCATGGGGTGGGGGGGTTGGGGGGCAGTCATCCTGTCTTTCTCTTCTCTGTTCTCCATGGGTCAAGTTGTTTCCTTGATAAATTCCAATGCATACGTGCACCTGGATGTTACAGTGGAAGGTGTAGTATTCACTTGCCTAGTATTTCTTTCTATGAGAGCAGGAAACACTAGCAACTTCTGGTTGACCATCTTCCCTCCCTTGAATCTATTTTTTAATAGCTGTACTAATTCAAATTTCAATCAATAGTGTGCAAGATTTCCCTTTTCTTCACATTCTCACCAACACTTATTCATCTTTTTTTAATAGCCCTTCTAACAAGTGTGAGGTAATATCTCATTGTGGTTTTAATTTGCTCTTAATTTTGTTTAGCAATGTTGAACAATGTTTTTACATACCTGCTGGTCATTTGCATGTCTTCTTTAGAGAAATTTCTATTCAGATTATTTCCTTATTGTTTAATCAGGTTTACATTTTTGCCATTGAGTTGTAGGAGTTCCTTATATGTCTGAATATTAACCCCTTCTCACACCAATGACTTGCAAATATCTTCTCTGATTTTGTAGGTTTCCTTTGCTATGTTTATTGTTTCCCTAGCTGTCCAGAAGATTTTCAGTTTGATGTAATCCCATTTGTCTATTTTTACTTTTTTGCCTGTGCTTTCGGGGATAGATATTAAAATAATCATTGCCCACTCCAATGTCATGAAACATTTATCCTATGTTTTCTTCTAATAGTTTTACAGTTTCAGGTCTTACATCTAAGTCTTTCAACCATTTTTAGTTAATTTTTTGTATGGTGTGATATAGGGGCCTAATTTGATTCTCTGCATGTGAATATCCACTCTTCCCAGCACTATTTCTTACAGAAACTATCTTTTCTCCATTGTGTATTTATAGCAAATTTGTTAAAAATCAATGGACTGTAAATGCCTGGATTTATTTGTTGGCTTCCTACTCTATTCCATTCTTCTAGATGTCTTTGTTTATACCAGTACTATGCTGCTTTGGTTGCTATAGCTTTGTAGTATATTTTTAAGTCAGATAGGGTGTTATCTTTAGCTTTGTTCTTATTGCTCCAGATTGCGTTAGCTATTCAGGGTCATTCGTAGTTTTAAATTAATTTTAAAATTGTTTTTTCAACTTCTGATAAAAATAGTGTTTATATTTTGATAAGAATTGCATTGAATCTGTAGATAACTTTGGGTAGTATGGGCATGCTAACAATATTAATTAGTCCTACACACAAACACACAGGATACATTTTCATTTATTTATGCCTGCTTTCATTAATTTCTTCATTGTTTTACAGTTTCAGTGTGTAGGTCTTTCACCACTTTGCATAAATTTATTTCCAAGTATTTTAATGTTTGTGGCTATTGTAAATGTAATTTGCTTTTTGCTTCTACTATTTAATAGTTCAAGGTTAGTGTACAAAAACTCTACTCATCTTTGTATGTTTACTTTACAAACTCCAAATTTACTGAAGTAATTTCTTAGTTTCAACAATTTTAATAATTTCGTATAAAATATCATGTCATATTAAAAAGGCAATACTTTAATTTTTTTCTTTTCAATTGAATGTCTTCTATTTCTCCTCCTAATTGCTTTGGCTATTACTACCAATATTCAAATAAAAATGTTGAGCGTAGACATCTTTGTCTTTTTTCTGAACTTAAAAGAAATGTTTTTAACTTTTTATCATTGACTATGTTAACTGTATGTTTGTCATATATGGCCATTATTGTATTGAGGCACATTCCTTCCAAATTTAAATGTTTTAGAGTTTTTATAGGAAGGAATCTTGAACATTTAACAAATGCTTTTTCTGCATCAGTTAAGGTGATTATTTTTTGGTCATTATTCCTTAACACATAGTACATCTTATAAATTTGTGTATGTTAGACCATTCTTGAATCCTTGTGATAAATTTTACTTGATCATGGTAAATTATTCTTTCAATGTGCTGTTGAACTCCATTTACTAGAATTTTGTTGAGAATTTTGGCATCTATGTTAATCAGGGATATTGAACTGTAACTTTCTTTCCTTATAATGTCACTATCTGGTTTGTGTATCAGGGTCATGCTGGCTTTGCAAAAACAGTTTGGAAGTATTCCTGCTTTCTTAATTTTTAGAAAAGTTTGAGAAGGTTTGGTATTAATCTTTCTTTAAATGTTTGGTAGAATTCACCAGTGAAACCACAAAGTCCTGCACTTTCTTTGAAGAGACATTTATTACTGATTCAGTTTTTATACTCATTATTGGTCTGTTCAGATTTTCTTTCTTCCAGATTTGGTCTTGGTGGGTTGTACTGTTTCTCAGAATACAGTCATTTCTTTCAGGTTATCCAATTTTTGTTATATAATTGTCCATACAAAACTCTCATGTTCCTTTTTACTTTTTGTAATATCAGTTGTAATGTCTTCTTTTTAATTTTTTAATTTACATTTTCTTTCTTTTTATCTTTGTCTACCTAAGATTTTTTTCATCATTTCAAAAAATAAATTCTGCTTTATTGATTTTTCTATCGTTTTTCTGGTCTTCATTTTATTTATTTATTCTCTGATCTTTATTATTTATTTTTTCAATTAACTTTGGCCTAGTTTGTCTTTCTCTTTCTGGTTCCTTGAAGTACAATAGCAGGTTGTTTATTTGAGATCTTTCTTCTTTTTCAGTGTAAACATTTGTTGCCATAATCTTTTCTCTTAAAACTACTTTTAATGAATCTTATTTGTTTTTGTATATTTCCATTTTATGTTTTCTTAATGCATTTTTAACATTCCTTTAATTTTTTTTTGCCCATTGGCTGTTTTGCAAGATTATGTTTCAGGGATTTCTATTTGTATTTTATTAAATTCTCTCTGTTACTGATTTCCAGTTTAATATCATCAATATCAGAAAATATACTTGATACAATTGCAATATTTTTCAATTAGTTAACATATTTTTACAGGCTAACATTGAATCTATCCTGGAGAATGTTCCATATATTCTTGAAATAAATGTGCATTCTGCTATTGTAGGATGGAATGTTCTGTATATGTCTATTCCATTTGGTCTACTATTTTGTTTGTTTCTACTGGTATCTTATTTATTTTCTGTCTGAATGATGTATACATTGTTGAAAGTGGGGTATTAAAGTTTTCTACTACTATCATGTCACCATCTGTCTGTCACTTCAGATCTATTAATATTTCCATTATATATTTATGTGCTCTAATGTTGTACACATGTGTATTTACAATTATTTTATTGTTTTGATGTATAGATCCCTTTATCTTTGTATAATGACTTGCTTTGTTTCTTTTTGCAGTTTGTGACTTGACTTTAATTTTATCTGACTTCTATTTTATTTGTTTTTCACATTCCTGTTTATTGTTCCCAATCCAGGTGTGTCCTTAAATATGAAGTGATTTTTTTTGTAGGCAGAATACAGTAGGGCCTAGTTTTGTTTTGTATTTAATCCATTCAGCCACTCTTTGACTTTTAATTAGAGAATTTAATGCATTTAGATTTGTTTATTGATATTTAAAGACTACTACCATTGTGTTAATTATTTATTGTTTGTTTTGTAGATGCTTTATTCCTTTTTTTTCTTTTACTATCTTCTATGTGATTAGGTGATTTTCCCTAGAAGTATTTTTTGATTTCATATTTTTATCTTCCACATATATAGTACAGGATTGTGCTTTGTGGTTGCTTGAGGTTTCATAGAACACTTTATAGTAATAATATGCTATTTTAAGCTGATAAAAGCTTAACTTTATTCACAGAAGAAAACCTCAGCAATTCTACTCCATTTCATGACACATTTTAAGTTTTTTGGTGTTACAATGTACATGTTTATATAGTGTATCCTTTATTGAATTCTTATAGCTATTATTTTTAATAGTTTTGTATTTTAACCTTTATACTGAATATAGAAGTGATTTACAAATCACCATTACACTAACAGAATATTTTGAATTTTACTTTATACTTACTTTTCCTTGTGTGTTTTATAATGTTATCTGTTTTGTGTTTCTAATTAGCATTCTTCTCTTCAGCTTGAAGAATTTTCCTTAGCATTTCTTCTATGATACCTTTGGTGGTACTAAACTCTCTCAGCTACTGTTTGGGGAAGTCTTTTATTTTATTTATTTCTGGAAAGCTTTGCTTGGTAAAGTATTTTTGGTTGACAGTCTTTTTTTTTCTTTAGTACTTTGACTATATCACTCAACTCTCATGGGGCCTGTAATGTTTCTGCTGAGAAGCTTGCCACTATGGTTATTGGAATTTGTACAATATTTACAACTACAAAAATTATTTGTAATTTGTTTCTTTTTGTTGTTGCTTTCAGGATTCACTTTGATTTCTGATGGTTTCTTTATGTATTGATATAGTCTTATTTGAGTTGAATCTAATTGTGAGAAATCTCCAAACTGCTTTCCACAGCTGGTGAACTAATTTGCATTCCCACTAACAGTGTATAAGCATTCCTTTTTAACCACAGCCTCACCAGCATCTGTTGATTTTTGACTCTTTAGTAATAGCCATTCTGACAGGTGCAAGATGGCATCTCAATGTGGTTTTGAGTTGCATTTCTCTGATGATTAGAAATGATGAGCATTTTTTTCATGTGTGTTGGCTGCTTGCATGTCATCTTTTGAGAAGTGTCTGTTCATATCTTTTGTGTATTTTTAATGGAGTTATTTGTGTTTTGCTTATTTGTTTAAATTCCATATATATTCTGGATATTAGACCTCTGTAAGATGCACAGTTTGTGAGTATTTTCTCCTATTTTTTAGGTTGTCTATTTACTCACCTATTTTTTAGATTGTCTGTTTACTCAATATATAGTTTCCCTTGCTATGTGGAAACTCATTAGTTTAATTAAGTTCCCCTTGTCAATTTTTGTTTTTGTTGCAATTGGTTTGGGGGACTTATAAATTAATTATTTGCAAAGGCCAATGCTTAGAAAGGTATTTCCTACTTTGTCTTCTAAGATTCTTATGGTTGCAGGTGTTACACCTAAATATTTAATACATTTGAGTTAATTTTTGTTTATGGTAAGGGTCTAGTTTCATTCTGCTGCATATAGCTAGCCAGTTAACTGAGCACCATTTGAATAGGGAGTCCTTTTCCCATTGTTTGTTTTTGTCAGCCTTGTTGAAGATCAGATGGTTGTAAGTGTGTAGGTTTATTTCTGAGTTTTCAGTTCTATTCCATTACTCAATGTCTCTTTTTGTACCAGAACCATGCTCTTTTGGTTACTATAGCCTTATAGTATAGTATGAAATAAAAGAGTCCGATGCTTATGATTTTGTTCTTTTTGCTTAGGATTGCTTTGGCTACTTGAGCTCCTTTATGTTACCATATAAATTTTAGAATTGTTATTTTACTAATTCTTGAAGAATGACATTTGTATTTTGTTACAAATAGGGTTGAACTTGTACATTGCTTTGGATGGTATGGCCATTTTCATTACATTGATTCTTCTAATCCATGAGCATGAAATGTTTTTCAATTTACTTCAGTCATCTTTTATTTCTTTCAGCAAGATTTTGTAATTCTCCTTGCATAGGTATTTCACCTTCTTGGTTAAGGCTATTTCTAGGTATTTCATTTTCTTTGTGGCTATTGTATATGGGATTATACTGTTAATTTGACTCTCAGTCTAAACATTATTTGTGTATACCAATGCTACTAAATTTTTTTCATTGATTTTGTATCCTAAAACATTATGTTTTTGTTCATTGGTTTTGTATCCTGATGGATTTTTCATTTCTAATATCCTTACCTTATTGCTGGCTGGTTATTTTATTATTTTTGACATTTTTCTGTGGCATAAATTGTTCCACATATGATTTTATTATATTTTGACCCATTTGCAGGAATAGTTATTTAAACCATTTTTGAAGGTTTTTTTTTTGTGTGTGTGTGTGTGTGTGTGACCCCAGAAGGACTCATTTTGGCTATCTCATTCCCTGTTTTTTTCTTTTCTTTTGAATTAGCTGGCCAATGGTTTAGCTTTTTGCTATTAATTCAGATGAGCTATTATTTGTAAGCACATCCTCAGTCTTTAACTTTTCCATATTTTGTTTCAAACAAAGTCAACTCATTTGGGTAAAGTTGAAAGCTTTTCTGTCTTATGAACTGATTTTTTTCTTCTGGGGAAAGTCACTGAGCTATACACTAAACACTATGCAGAGGAGTAGCCTTTGGCCTTCTTGTCTCATCTTTTTTTGTGTGTGTAATATCTTCATTACCATTGACCTAGGGTAAGATAAATTAGGTTCGCAGTATTCTCAGCATGCCACCCTTGGGGTAGAGGAGGTGTGGGTAAGATAGAGAAAGGAAGCCTCTGCCCTATTAAATTCACCAGCTAGTTATTCAGCCTCTTAAAATTGGAATTGAAAGAGATGAGAAGTGATGGTTTCCTGGACCTCCAAGTAAGATACTGCATCCCTTGATTGGGACCTGAGATAAGAGGCAGCCCTGTCTGATTTGCCACAGTTACCCACAGTGTGGCTTTTATCCAGCTGAGCTATGGGAAAGAGGAGAGAAAGATCAGGTCATGGCTCAAGAGCCATAGACTCTTGCTGTTCTTACAGAAGTTTGGTAGAATTGTTTTTGAATAAATATTTATTCACTTACTAAATTCCTTTAAAATAATATTTAGAGACTATTTAAAAATATCATTTCTATCAATTTTTCTTGTTTCACTGAAGAATGAGTACCCAGAACTCCTTATGCTGTTATTACAAAAGGGAAACTCAAAAGTGCTTACTTTTTAATATAGTAGAGTTTATATATTTTTCCTTTATAATCAATATTTTCTCTGTCTTGTTTAATAAACACTTTTTTCTTTCTCTGAGGGCTCAGAAATACTGTATCATGTTATTCTCCAAAATATTTATCATATTATCTTTCACATTTAGGAGAAAATACATATGTAATTTATTTTATGCATGTCATAAAATATGTATGTATATATATATATATATATATATTTCTTTATTTTCTGCCTGGGCTAGTACTTAGGTGGTGGCTGTTTTGTGTATGAGGATAGAAAATGAACAAATATATAAAAATTCTGTAAAGTATTATCTTTCTGATTGAATTCATGAATTTAAGGAACAAATAATTACAATGCTAATTTATTTCTTAGGACAGGTAAAATTATTGTAACCAGTAAAAATAAGATTCTTCTTTCCTTTGATTTTGAAGGATCTTGAAGAAACATAAATAGCATATGCCAAAATGAGTTTTGAGAAGGACAATTTTGAAAGATTTTAAAAACACTTAAGCAAATACTGATTGCATGGCATTTGATGATAACTGGAGAATTTGTGAATAGGATTTCTTTGGAGAGAGTTGAGCTGTGAATTCTATGTTTTCAAAAGGTGAGCTTGGTGATACTACTATAAACAACTTATCTTAGTCCATTTAGGTTGCTACAAATATACCATCATTTGGATGGCTTAAACAACAAACATTTATTTCTCACACTTCTGGAGAATGAGAAGCCCAAGATTATAGTGCCAGCTTGTTTGAGTTCAAAGGAGGGTTATCTTCTGCGTTCGAGACTATTGACTTCTCCCTGTGTTCTCACATGGTGGGAGAGTTTCCAGGGTTCTGTTTTATAAAGACATGAATTCCATTTATGAAGGCTCTACTCACATTACCTAATCACCTTCAAAAGGCTCTATGTCCTAATACCATCTAAGTGGGATTAGGGTCTCCACATATAAATTTTGGGAGGACACAAACATTTAGCCCACCTCAAGTCAAGATTGGAGGGCTTTAATGAGATAATGTTGGGAAATTTGTCGTTCTCTCTGGCAGTGACAGGAGCAAAGTTGACTAATGTTTGAATCTTGCTGGAAAATTATAATAATAAATCCTAGTATAGAGCTGATTTTAAAACAATTTTGAGAGAAATGGGCAACGTTTGGTGACCTGTGTCACCAGAGTTTGTTGAAGCATACAGCAAGCAACAATGTGAAGAATCTTGGATTCTGTTCAATTGATAAGTAGCATTGATGAAGCTAAATATTTATCTTTGAAGATGGATTTCTAGGATCTGATGATCAAGTGATTGACTGCTGAAGTTAATTGCATTTTCCTGAGTCAAGGGAACTTCAAGTGAGATTAAAACAGAAAAGAAAAGGAGGGAATTCCTAAAGAACTTTAAAAATTACCCTATGATGCGTAAGAGATTCTCGGTTTTATATTGTTTAAACACCTTTCAGGTCTAAAAAGTACAGACTAAATATCTTCCCTAGCCCCAAGGCTTGAAGGAAGTGGATATTATTTACTAATGTGATTTGCAAGGTAGACAATTCTGAAGGACACTTGATGTAAAATTTAGCCAAAAGTTGTCTATATCACTCAGTAACTCCATACTTACAATGGGTATATCAAAGGGTCTAGAAACTGTAAATGAGCTAATAATCTGTTTATGATCTTTGCCCACTTTTAAATGAAATATTTGTTATTTTGTTTCCTTTGTTATTTTCTTTTCTAACAGTTATTTGTTTGAGATTCTTATAGAATCTGATTATTAGTTCCTTGACAGACACATAGTTTGCAAATATTTCCTCTCATTCTCAGGTTCTTCATGCACTCAGTTGATTACACTTTTGCTGCTGTTGTGAAGAATCTTTAGTTTAACCGAGACACCCTTGTTTACTTTTGTTTTTGTTATATTTGCTTTTGAGGTCTTAGACATAAATTATTTGACTACACCAATGTCCAGAAGAGATTTGCCTGGGTTTTCATTAAGTATTTCAATAGCTTCAGGTCTTACATTTAAATCATTAATACATCTTGAGCTGATTTGTATATGGTAAGAGATAGGAGTCCAATTTTCTTGATCTAGTCTATTGTTGATCTAGTCTATTGTTGAAACTTTCAACTATAGTTTGTAATTATTTTAATAAATACCTATTTCCAGAAGTTCTGTTTTTTGTTCTTTTTAAAATATCTACGTCTTTGCTAAATCTCTCATTCATACCTTGAATCGTTTTTCTGAATTTTTTGTATTGATTGCAGATTTCTCTTGAATCTCATTGAGCTTCTTTAAAAATAAATGTTTTAATTTTTATCTGGTATTTCAAAAATTTTGTTTATGTTAAGATCTATTGCTGGGCAGTTAGTGTGATTTTGGGGTGGGGGGTGTTGTAATACCCTGTTTTCTTTTTTTATACTTCCAAAATTGTTATGCTGGTTCCTTCTCATCTGTAAAGACTGTCACTTCTTAATTTTAAATTTATTTCCGTTTTTTGGCTTTTATTCTTTAAAGATGTGACTAGAATGTTTGTTGAGTAGTCTCATGTGGCTTTGCTTCTGGGTGCTTTCAGTGGCAAAGACTTTGTATGAATTCCTTGATTATAGATAGCATTTGTGTAGTGGCTTTTTCAAATGCCAGGTGGAGTCACGGTGTATTGGGCATGTGAGCAGGCTCACAGCCTCCTATGGAGCTGCAGTCACAGTGATCTTAAAAAGCTAATCTCATTCCCATGTGCTGTGCAGTTGTGTCAGCAGAATTGAATTGAGTTGTGCAGCTTGATCCCCAGGCCAGCAGGTGGCACTTCCAGGTAATAGACAGCTGGGGTCGTAGCAGTAGTGTTTATACTTAATTTTTTCACTGGATGAAGCTCTCCAGTGTCTCAGGCAATAGGCTGCTCTGTGGAATGCACAGCGGTCTTGACTCTTGTCTCAGCCCCAAAATGGAGACAAAACTGGTGGAGCTGGACTGGGGAGCCTTGCCTTCAGGTCTGTCAGGAGTGGGCACAAGCACCAGCCCTGACTGGGGTGGCAAGAAAGTTTCATGTTTCTGGGGAAGCATGCCAAGGTCTCAACATGCACGGAGAAGCTGTCCCTGTACCATGGCCTTGGCAGGCAGGAATGTCATCTGTTTCTATCATGCCACTGTCCCAATTCTGGGGATGTTCATTTCAGTCAGACATTGCTGTTTATGTCCTGGCTACAACGTAGACCAGAGCTGTAGTTGACACCTGCTTTGTGGCTGAGTATTAAACTTCTGTGCTGTCTGGAAATGGCTGTGGTGTGCAGATTTCCATGCAGCTCTCCAGACCTCTTGCTTTCCATGGCAGAAGCACTGCAGCTTTGTGCAGAGAAAGAGAGGTTTCCTACCTGATATGGTTTTGCCATGTCCCCACCCAAATCTCATCTTGAATTGTAGCTCCAACAATTCCCACGTGTGGGAAGGACCCTGTAGGAGGTAACTAACTCATGGAGGCAGGTCTTTCCCATGCTGTTCTTGTGATACTGAATAAGTCTCATGAGGTCAGATGATTTTTAGAAAGAGGAGTTTCCCTGGACAAGTTGTCCTTTCTTGTCCATTGCCATGTGAAACGTGCTTTTCACTTTCTGCCATAACTGTGAGGCCTCCCTAGCCATGTGGAACTGTGAGTATATTGAACCTCTTTTTTCTTATAAATTACCCAGTCTTGGGTATGTCTTTATAGGTGGTGTGAAAGCAGACTAATACAGTAAATTGGTACCAGTACAGTGGGGCACTGCTGTAAAGATACCCAAAATGTGGAAGCCACTTTGGAACTGGGTAACAGGAAAAGATTGGAACAGTTTGGAGGGCTCAAAAGAAGACAGGAAAATGTGGGACAGTTTGGAACTTCCTAGAACCTTGTTGAATGGCTTTGACAAAAATGCTGATAATGATATGGACAATGAAACCAAGGCTGAGGTTGTCTCAGATGTAGATGAGGAATTTGTTGGGAATTGAAGCAAAGGTGACTCTTGCTATGTTTTAGCAAAGAGACTGGCAGCATTTTGCCCCTGCCCTAGAGATTTGTGGAACTGTGAACTTGAGAGAGGTGATTTAGGGTATCTGGTGGAAGAAATTTCTAAGCAGCAAAGCATTCAAGAGGTGACTTGGATGCTGTTAAAGGCATTCAGTTTTATAAGGAAAACAAAGCATAAACATTTGGAAAATTTGCAACCTGACAATGCAATAGAAAGGAAAATCCAATTTTCTGAGGAGAAATTCAAGCCACTGTCTGCAGAAATTTGCATAAGTCAACAAGGAGTCAAATGTTAATCACCCAGGCAATGAAGAAAATGTCTCCAGGGCATGTCAGAGACCTTTGCAGTAGCCCCTTCCAACACAGGCCTGGAGGCCTAGCCTAGTGGAGCTGTGAGAAGAGGGTTACCATCCTCCAGACCCAGAATGGTAGACCCACTGACAGTTTGTGTTGTGCTTCTGGAAAAGCTGCAGGCATTCAACACCAGCCCATGAAATCAGCCAGGAGAGAGGCTATACCCTGCAAAGTCACAGGGGCAGAGCTGTCCATGACCATGTGAATCCACCTCTTGCATCAGCATGACCTGGAATGTGAGACATGGAGTCAAAGGAGATCAATTTGGAGCTTTAAGATTTGACTGTTCTGCTGGATTTTGGACTCGTATCGGGACTTTAGCCTTTTCGTTTTGGCCAATTTCTCCCATTCAGAACAGCCGTATTTACCCAATGCCTGTACACACATGGTGTCTGGGAAGTAA
Organism: Homo sapiens; assembly: GCF_000001405.40. Lineage (NCBI taxonomy): Eukaryota > Metazoa > Chordata > Mammalia > Primates > Hominidae > Homo > Homo sapiens. The sequence goes on from NC_000023.11 coordinate 82,232,171, forward strand.
CTAACTTGCTTTTAATTTTACAGGCTCATAGACAGAATGGACTTGCTTTGTCTCAGATGGGACTTTGGACTGTGAACTTTGAGTTAATGCTGAAATGAGTTAAGACTTTGCGGGACTGTTGAGGTAGACTGATTGGTTTTGAAATGTGAGGACATGAGATTTAGGAAGGACCAGGGGTAGAATGATATAGTTTGGTTGTGTCTCCACTCAAATCTCATGTTGAATCATAGCTTCCGCAATTCTCATGTGTTGTGGGAGGGACCCAGTGGGAGGTAATTGAATCATGAGGGCAGGTCTTTCTCTTGCTGTTCTTGTGATAGTGAATAAGTCTCATGAGATCTGATGGTTTTATAAAGGGGAGTTTTCCTGTACAAGTTCTCCTCTCTTGTCTGCTACCATGTGAAATGTGCCTTTCACCTTTTGCCATGATTGTGAGACATCCCAAGCCACAGGGAACTGTGAGTCCATAAAACCTCTTTTTCATTGTTAATTACTCAGTCTCAGGTATGTCTTTATCAGCAGTGTGAATGCAGACTAATGCATTACCTTTCAAGCAAATTCAAGCTCAGAGACCATGCTGCCAGTAGGGATGCAGTTACCCTTCACAGCTCCAAGCAGGCTGCCCTGCTCCTCACCAGTGCCAAATTCCTGTGGGAGTAGCAATGGCTATGTCTACAGCAGTGAGCACTGTGGCAGGAATAGTCTCACTCCTTACATCTGGGCTCAAGCATCAAGGCTGGTTGGCTGGTGGAATGGGATTTTACTCCTTGCTTTCAGAGTCCAGCAAATAGTTTGTGCCTCTACTGGAAGTAAAGCTGTCAATCATGGGCCTAAGCCAAAAGCCCCTGGACACTGGAAAGTGCACACTTTGCATTCCTTTTTCCCAGGGGCTGCCCTCTTTGTGCACAGGAATTTCCCTTCCCTTAAGAGTAGCACTTCCTGAGAGCTAAATCACTGGAACCTTGCATCTCCCTTGGGTCCAACCAGCATTGTGCTGCTGTTGCCCTTCAAGTGTGTGAGGAATTTCTACAGAAGCTCCCAGGTTGTGGAGACAAAAAGGGTAATTTTTGCTGCTTGGAATACAGTCTCTCAATGCTTGTGTTCCACAATGGTCCCCTGTTACAGACACTTGAGTTATGGGGGAGAGAAAGTGACTGATGTGAGTTTGCTGTCTGGTGTAATGGCCTCTGATAGTCCCCAAATCACCACTCTCACTAGTGTCTTAGCTCAAAAGGGCAGAGAAACTTTGCCACAGGTTGGATATCAGCAGTCTATTTGATCATGGTGGATTAACTTTTTGATAAGCTGCTGAATTTGGTTTGCAAGTATTCTGTTGAGGATTTTGACATCTATGTTCACCAAGGATATTGGCCTGAAGTGTTTTTTTTTGTTTGTTTGTTTGGTGTGTGTGTGCGTGTGTGCGTGTGTGTGTGTGTGTGTGTGTGTGTGCATGTCTGCTGGGTTTGGGTATCAAATTATGCTGGCCTCATAGAATGAGTTGGAGAGGAGTCCTTTCTCAATTTTCTGGGAAGGTTTCTTTAGGAATAGTATGAGCTCTTCCTTGTACATCTGGTAGATAGAATTCGACTGTAAATCCATCAGGTCCAGGCATAGGTTGATAGGCTATTTATTTCTGATTCAATTTCCCAGCTTGTTATTGGTCTGTTCAGGGAATCAATTTTTTACTGACTCAGTCTTGGAAGGGTGTGTATGTCCAGGAATTTACTCATCTTTTCTAGGTTTTCTAGTTTGTGTGAGTAGAGTTGTTTGCGTAGTTTCTGATGTTTTTTTTTATTTGTGTGGGTTATTTAGTAACATTTCCATCATCATTTCTAATTTTGCTTATTTGAATCTTCTCATTTTTCTTCTTTATTGGCCTAGCTAGCGGCCAATCTATTTCACCAACTCCTGCATTCATTAATCTTTTCAATGTTTTTTCTTGTCTTAATTTCTTTCCGTTCAGCTCTGCTTTTTGTTATTTCTCATCTTCCATTCACTTTGAGGTTGATTTTTTCTTGTTTCACCAATTCCTTCACTTGTGAATTTAGGTTGTTAACTTAAAATCTTTCTAACTTTTCAATGTGAGAATTTAGTGCTATGAATTTTCCTCTTAACACTGCCTCTGCTTTGTTGCAGAGATTCTGGTATATTATATCTTTGCTTTCATTATTCTCAAATAACTTCTTGATTTCTGCCTTAATCTTATTATTTACATGAAAGTAATTCAGGATAATGTTGTAATTGAATGGTTTTGAACTATTTTCATGGTCTTGACTTCTATTTTTATTGCACTGTGTTCCAAGAGTATGTTTGGTATGATTTTTGTTCTTTTGCACTTGTTCAGGATAGTTTTATGTCTAATTATATGGTTGATTTTAGAGTATATGCCACGTGGCAATGAGAAGAATGTATATTCTGTTGGTTTTGGGTGGAGAGTTCCATAAAGGTCCATAATATCCATTTTGGTCCAATGTTGAGTTTAGGCCCTGAATATCTTTGTTAATTCTCTGCCTTGATAATCTGTCTAATACAGTCAGTAGAGTGTTGAAGTCTCTCACTTTATTGTGTGGGAGTCTATGTCTCTTTGTAGGTCTCTAAAAACCTGCTTTACAAATCTGGATGCTCCTGTGTTGGGTGAATATATGTTTACAACAGTTAGATCTTCTTATTGAATTGAACCCTTTACCATTATGTAATGCCCTTCTTCATCTTTTTTGATCTTTGTTGGTTTGAAATATGTTTTTTCTGAAATTAGGATTGCAATCCCTGCTTATGTTTTCCCTTTGGTTGGTAGACTTTTCTTTGTCCTTTTATTTTGAGCTTATGAGTATCAGTACTTGTGAGATGGCCCTCACATAATAACACACAATACATTATTTCAACATTTGCATGTCTGAAAAGGATCTTATTTCTCTTTCACTTAGGAAGCTTAGTTTGGCTGGATAGGAAATTCTTGGTTGAATATTTTTTTCTTTAAGAATCATAAATATAAGCATCCAATCTCTTCTGGCTTGTAGATTTTCACCTGAGAAGTCCACTGTTCTCCTGATGGAGTATTTTTCTTTTTTGTAGGTTACCTGCCCTTTCTCTTTAGCTGACTTCAATATTTTTTTCTTTCATTTCAACCTTGGGAAATCTGATGATTATGTGTCTTTGGGGTGATTTATTGTGTACAATCTTGAAGGAGCTGTCTGTATTTCCTGAATTTGATTGTTGACCTCTCTATCAAGTTTGGGGAAGTTTTCGTGGATGATATCAAGAAATATATTTGCTAAGTTGTTTGCTTTCTCACCCTCCTTTTCAGGATGCCAGGGATTCATAGATTTTGCCTCTTTACATAATCCCATGCTTCTCTGGGTTTTGTTCATCCCTTTTTATTCTTTTTTTCTTTATTTCATTTTGACTGTTTTATTGGGAAATCTGATGATTATGTGTCTTTGGGGTGATTTATTGTGTACAATCTTGAAGGAGCTGTCTGTATTTCCTGAATTTGATTGTTGACCTCTCTATCAAGTTTGGGGAAGTTTTCATGGATGATATCAAGAAATATATTTGCTAAGTTGTTTGCTTTCTCACCCTCCTTTTCAGGATGCCAGTGATTCATAGATTTTGCCTCTTTACATAATCCCATGCTTCTCTGGGTTTTGTTCATCCCTTTTTATTCTTTTTTTCTTTATTTCATTTTGACTGTTTTATTTCAGAACAACGTTTTTCAGGTTCTGAGATTCTTTCCTCAGCTTGGTTTATTCTGTTGTTAATACGTGTGATTGCATTGTGAAATTCTTGTATTGTGTCATTTAGCTGTGTAAGACCTTTTAGGTTCCCTTGGGCTGAATATTTCATCATTCAACTGCTGTATTACTTAGTTGTGATTCTTATTTTCCTTTGATTGGGTTTTGTCATCCTCCTGAATCTCCATTACCTTTATTCCTATCCATATTCTGACTTATATTTATGTCATTGCAGTCAGTATAGCCTGGTTAAGAACTCTTGTTGGAGAACTGGTGCAGTTGTTTGGAGGACATAAAACACTCTGGCCATTTGAGTTACCAGAGTTTCTGCACTGGTTTATTCACATCTCGATATTGGGTGTTCCTTTAACTACAGTGTAGGTTGAGTACAGTCAATAGACTTCTTTTCTGGATGTTTTCACTGGTCCAAGGCTTTGTACAGGGTTTTTATTTGAATCTTCCTCCTTGTCTCTGGTTTCAGAGGGAGGTATGTTAGTGGGGTTATTTTTGGTGTTAAACCATGGGGGTGTAATCCAGCAGGTGGCAATTAGGCTTATTGGTTAGTTGGTAGACTTTTGTTGGTTGTGTAGCTCTCTTATGTTTCCTCACAGTTGCAGTCATATTTTCTCTTAATGCTATGAAAGTGTGGGTTTCTTTCCCCCTTGAGGGCTGGTTGTAAAACATGACTTGACACTCCTAGGCTGCCCACTGCAGCTCTGGGGTGCTATCAGTGTTTTTCTTCTTTCCCCAACTTGGAGGCAGCAGAGGAAGGGATCTTAGTAGTGGTTGTGGCTGAGGGTAATTTGCCTGTCTCCTGGAGAGATGCAGGTCAGAAATCTCTCAGTGCAATCAGCCTAGGATGGAAGGTTTGTGCTGTGGGCCTAAGCCAGGGGTTCCCTGTCTGATTATGAGCACTGGGGGGTGTGTAGAACCTGTGGAAGATGGACTGGCCTTGTTTCTTTGGGTCTACTGCAGCTCGTTGGATGTGTGAATAAGCGCTGAATTAGTCAGGATTCTCCTGAGGGACAGAACAAATAGGATAGATATACATATATAAAGGGGAGTTTGTTAAGTAGTATTAACTCACACAATCACAAGTTCCCACAATAGTCTGTCTCAACCTGAGGAGAAAGGAAGCCAGTCTGAGTCCCAAAGCTGAAGAACTTGGAGTCTGATGTTTGAGGGCAGGAAACATCCAGCATGGGAGAAAGATGTAGACTGGGAGGCTAAGCCAGTCTAGACTTTTCATGTTTTTCTCTCTGCTTTATATTCAGGCAACACTGGCAGCTGATTAGATGGTGCTCACCCAGATTAAGGGTTGATCTGCCTTTCCCAGCCCACTGACTTAAATGTTAATCTCATTTGGCAACACCCTTACAGAGACACCCAGATCGATACTTTGCATCCTTCAATCTAATCAAGTTGACACTCTGTATTAAGCATCACAGGCACCTAAGGTCTTTGGTCTTTTGTTAGTCTGAGGGTAGTAAGGGCAGTTCCACTGCAGAGGTAGTGGCAGAGAACCTTTCAGTTGCCCCTCAGGGCTCTGCCCATGGAGTTGCAGAGCTGCTTTTGTAGAAATCACTGGACAGGAGAGACCAATGGGTGGGATAGGAGGATTTTATTAGGTGGCCACTAACTCAGTGGATTAACATCCAAGGGCTGAGCCCCAAATAAAGACAGGGCTTGATTTTTATAGATACATCTGAAAAGGGCATGAAACCTGTAAGGCGAGTAAGCAAGCTTACAAAAGCAGAACAAAGGCAGTTTATCAGTGACAGGTTTTATAACTCAGGCATGTCTTGTGACCTTTGCCATACTGCACAGCTGGAAAACAGGAACTTACAAAATCCTTACAAGCTTGCAGAAATAGTTATGAGAGGAGAAAAAAGGAATAACGGAGTGGGGAAAGAATTTCAAAGGGGTAAACTGATAAGAAGAACTTGTTTCTCTTATCCCTGCTCCTGAAGCCCATTGCTTCTGGGCCCCAGCTCTGCTGATAATGCTGTCAAAGCCCTGGGAGAGCCCTGCTTATCACTGGGCCTTGGAGTGAGTCAGCCCAGTACAGAGAACTTGTTTTTCTCTCTTTTCCTTTCCTTTTACATCTCCTGCTTTACTGCTACTGGCTCAATAGCTCTAGCAGGGAATGGCTGGAGGCCCAGGCACAGAGGACTTTCCTGATGATGAGATATGGAAACAGGCACCCACATAACAGTCTGGCAACTTTTCCATACAGCTGCTGTGGTATGCTTGGGGCCCATTCTAATTCCTCATCACTTTGGATTTCCAGTACATGGAGGTTTTACCAGTGAAAGCTGTGAAACGCCAAATTGCAGCCTTTCCCTCCATCTGGGAGCTTAGTCCAAGGGAGGTAAGGTCCTGTTGCTGGTCCAAAGGCACTTGTAGGAAGTGGCTGGAGACTACGGTTTAGAGGTCCTGGTCAGTGAGGAGAAACGGGGCTGGAAACCCACTTACAAAAGCAGTCTGGACACATTTTGGTAGAGCAGCTATGCTGTGCTGGTGGTCCACTTCAGCCTCTGGTGGCCTCAGACACTCCAAAGCCCAAAGGGTGGAATGGCTAAAGTTGACAAAAAAGCAAAGATGGTGGCCTGCCCCTCCATCTGGGAGCACCATCCCAGGGGGAACCCAAAGCTCTTTGGCAAGAGAACATAAATGTTGGTGGATTGTGGCCCCCACTGGTAGGTCCCACCCAGCAAGAAGTGGGATCTGGGACCTGCTCAAAGAAGCACTCTGGCCATGTTTTATTAGAGCAGCTGTGCTGTGCTAGGGGATTTTTTTCTGCCCCCGGTTGGCTCAGTCTTTCCAAAGCCTGAAGCCTGGAATAGCTAAGTCATCCAAACAGCAAAGATGGCAATCCCCCCACTTCCACCTCGTGGGAACTTCTTCTAAGTGAGGTGCAATGCCACTACCAGTGGCTGGCTGGAATTCCAAGCCAGTGTTCTTATCTTGTGAGGTTCCATGGTAGTGGGGCCTGAAGGCCATCGCTGCTCAACCCACTGGAATCAGTATCTTTCCTAGGGGTATGTACAGAGGTCTAACCTCCCACTCTGCTAGAGCTCTAGCTACTTTTGCCAGAAAGTCTGAGTATCTAAGTCTCCAGGGTCTGCATACATGCATGAGCAGCTGCTCTGCTGAGACTCCACATAGCTCTGTCTGTCAGACTGAAGGCCCTGGCAGAGTGTGTTCATGAAGAGATCTGCTAACCCAAGGATTGCAAAGATCCATGGGAGAAGTGTGGTTTCCTAGGGACACATATTCACTTACTGCTTCCCTGGGCAGGAGATGTGCCCCTGGCTCTGTGTTACTCCCAGGTGGGCCATTATCTTGTATTGCTTTTCTTCATTCTCCAGAGATCATGTTGTTTCCTTGATTAGTCCCAATGGGAGCACCTGGATGGTTCAGCTGAAGGTTTTTTGTTTACTCACCTTTCGATTCCTTTTTGTGAGAGCCATACACACTAAATGCTTTTAGTCAACCATCTTGGCCACTCCTGCAACAGTTTCTTTACTTTCTCTGTCTTTTATTTTTAGATGGTTGTATAAGCCTATCATTAATTCACCCTCAATTACTGAACAGAACTTTACAATTTTTTTCAGTGTTGTAGAATATATTACATTATCATATTATTATAAAGGTTGTTATATTATATTATAACATATCATACAAATGCTATAATATATATAATAATATATATTGTTATAGATAAATATTTATATTGGAATCCTATGTATTTATATTTTAATCTGGTCTGTTAAATCTTTAGGTGTTGATATGGTTTTGCTCTGTGTCCCCATCCAAATCTCATCTTGAATTGTACTCCAATAATTCCCATGTGTTGCAGGAGGGACACAGTGGAAGATAATTTGAATCATGGGGGCAGTTTCCCCTATACTGTTCTCATGACAGTGAATAAGTCTCATGAGATCTGATGATTTTATCAGGGGTTTCCACTTTTGCATCTTCCTCATTTTCTATTGCTGCCATCATGTAAGAAATGCCTTTCACCTTCCACCATGATTCTGAGGCCTCCCCAGCCATATGGAACTTTAAGTCCAATTAAACCTCTTTTTCTTCCTAATTTCGAGTATGCCTTTTATCAGCAGTATGAAAATGGACCAATACAGTAAATTGGTACCAGTAGAGTGGGGCATTGCTTAAAAGATAACTGAAAATGTGGAAGCAACTTTGGAACTGGGTAACAGGCAGTGGTTGGAACAGTTTAGAGGGCTCAGGAGAAGACAGGAAAATGTGGAAAAGTTTAGAACCTCTGAGAGACTTGCTGAATGGCTTTGACAAAAATGCTGATAGTGATATGAACAATAAGGTCCAGGCTGAGGAGGTATCAAATGGAGAAGAGTAAGTTGTTGGGAACTGGAGTAAAAGTGACTCTTGTTCTGTTTTAGCAAAGAGAATGATGGCATTTTGTCCCTGCCCTAGAAATTTGTGGAACTTTGAACTTGAGAGAGATAATTTAGGGTATCTGGAGAAAGAAATTTCTAAGCAGCTAAGCATTCAAGAGTTGACTTGGATGCTGTTAAAAGCATTCAGTTTTAAAAGGGAAACACAGCATAAAATTTCAGAAATTTTGCAGCCTGACAATGTGGTAAAAAAGAAAAAAAAATTTTTTGAGAGGAAATTCAAGCTGGCTGCTCAAATTTGCATAAGTAATGGGAAGCTGAGTGTTAATCCCTAAGACAATAGGAAAAATGTCTCCAGGGCATGTCATAGGTCTTCATGGCAGCCCCTTCCATCATAGACCCAGAAGCTTAGGAAGAAAAATGGTTTCCTGGGCTGGGCCCAGAGTCTCCATGCTTTGTACAGCCTAGGGACTTGGTGCCCTGCATCCCAGACACTACAGCTATTGCTAAAATGGGCCAAGGTGAGCTCAGCCCATCATTTCAGAGGGCGCAAGCCACAAACCTTTGCATCTTCCACATGGTTTTGAGTCTGCAGGTGCACAGAAGTCAAGAATTGAGGTTTGGGAACCTCCACCTAGATTTCAGAAGGTGTATGGAAATGCCTGGATGCCCAGGCAAAAATTTGCTGCCAGGATGGGGCGCTCATGGAGAACCTCTGCTAGGGCAATGCAGATGGAAAACGTGGGTTGGGAGCCCCCACACAGAGTCCATACTGGGGCACCGCCTAGTGAAGCTGTGAGAAGAGGGCCACCTTCCTCCAGACCCCAGAATGGTAGATCCACTGACAGCTTGTACCATGTGCCTGGAATGTCACAGACACTCAACTCCAGCCCATGAAAGCATCCAGGAAGGGGGATATGCCCTGCAAAGCCACAGGGGCATAGCAGCCCAAGACTATGGGAACCTTCCTTTTGCATCAGCGAGACCTGAATGTGAGATATAGAGTCATAAGAGATTATTTGTGAGCCTTAAAATTTTATTGCTTCATTGGATTTCAGACTTGCATGGTCCCTGTAACCCCTTTGTTTTGGCCAATTTCCTCCATTTGGAATGGCTGCATTTACCTAATACTGGTACACCCATTGTATCTAGGAAGTAACTAGCTTGATTTTGAATTTACAAGCTCATAGATGGAAGGAACTTGCCTTGTCTCAGATGAGACTTTGGACTGTGGACTTTTGTATTAATGCCGAAATGAGTTAAGACTTTGGGGGACTGTTGGGGAGGCATGATTGGTTTTGAAATGTGAGAACATGAAACTTGGAGGGGCCAGGGTGGAATGATATGATTTGTCTCTGTGTCCCCACCCAAATATCCTCTTGAATTGTACTCCTATAATTTCCATATGTTGTGAGAGGGACCTGGTGCGAGATAATTTGAATCATGGGGCGGTATCCCCCATGCTGTTCTCATGGTAGTGAATAAGTCTCACGAGATCTGATGGTTTTATCAGGGGTTTCTGCTTTCGCATCTCCCTCATTTTCTATTGCCACCACCATGTAAGAAGTGCCTTTTGCCTCCTGACATGATTCTGAGGCCTCCTCAACCATATGGAACTGTAAGTTCAATTAAACCTTTTTTCCCCAGTTTTGGGTATGTCTTTATCAGCAGGATGAAAACAGACTAATACGGGTCTATTGCACAGTTATGATCACATGGCATACCTTCACCAGCATCTTAGAAATTCATTTTGCATCTCTCCTGTAATAAATCTCCTGTCTCCGTGATATCAACTTTGTTTATTTTCTCCTAATTTTGGAAGAACATATCATATCCTCCATGTGCTTTGTAAAAAAGTACTCATTTTCTGAGAATCTACAAATGAAGAATTTGTTTTGATCTACTCTCACAATTGAATTGTTTAGCATTGAACTTTAAAATATGAATAATTTCTCTCTTAAATTTGGAAGATTTTGCTCTATTGTTTTTTGCTTCTACTGTTAAGAAATTCAGTATCATACTATTTGTGTCTTGATAAAGGATAGGTTTTATTGTCTCATTTCTGGAAGTGAATAAAATTCTCTTTAACTAAAAATGCAATGATGATGAACATTGCTGTAGTCCTTTCCTTTAGCTGTTACGGTTATTTTGCTTAAATATTAGGACTTTTCAATAGGAAAATCATGTATTTTATTTCTACAAGATTCTGTGCCTGTATGTATGTGTTGTGTGTGAGAGAGAGAGAGGAAGAAAGAGAGAGAGAAAGAAAAAACAGAAAATAGAGATATTTGTTTTACAATTAGCTTTATTATTTATAAGAATAGTGTATAAATATTGAACTTTATGTTAAATTATATGTGAGTTTTCTCTTCTATTTTTATATTTTTGTCTTTCTGTTCTACATTTATGGTGATAATTTATATACCAAACTTTTAATTTATTTTCTTTTAGTTTCAGCTGCTATATGTTTAATTTCCAAGATCACATCTTGACCTCATACTGTTTTGTATATTTACAATCTAGCATAAAACCCAAAGAAATCATAAAAACAACAATAGCCCAAGTCCAAATTTATCAGAAGAAAAAAAATAAATATCAGAGAAGAAAAAAATAGAATTGTGATAAGAAAACAATTTTACAAAGGTTAATAAAATGAAAAGTTGGTTCTTTGAAAACATAAAAAACTCATTAGTATAGCCAAAAAAGGAGAAGAAAGATTGAAATAAACATAAGTAGAAATATTAAAAATAAACATTACAAGCAATATTACGGAAATACCAAATATTATCAGAGACTACTATAAACAACTCTATGCTCACAAACAAAAAATCCTAGAGAAAATGAACAAGTCCTTGGAAACATACAGCCTATCAAATTAAATGAGGGAGTAATAGAAATCCTGAACCACCAATAATAAGCAATGAGATTGAATTGGCAATTTAAAAAATTATCAATAAATAAAAAGCCCAGAACCAGATGGATTCACAGGTGAATTCCACCAAATGTATAAAATACTGGTACTTCTGCTCTTCAATCTGTTCCAAAAATCTCGGAAGATAATCCTACTTAACTTAGTCTATGAAGTCAGTATCATTCTAATACTAAAGACAGGCAAGGAAAAAACAAAGAAAATAATGTGTAAAACTAAACACCAGTATCCCTGATAAACATAGATGCAGAAATCCTCAAGAAAATACTAGCAAACTGAATCCAACATTATATCAAAAATGTATCATGATCAAATGGGTTTTATTCCAGGAATACAAGGTTGTCTCAACATATGTAAATCAATAAATGTGATTCACCACATAAACAGAAATAAAAACCAAAACCATATGATCATCTCTAGAGATGCAGAAAAGGCATTTGATAAAATTCAGCATCTCTCCATAATAAAAACCCTTAATAAACTAGACATAGAAGGAACATACCTCAAAATAATAAAGACCAAATATGGCAAACACGCAGCCAGTATCATAATGAATAAAACAAATTTGAAGGCAGTCTCACTAAGAATTAAAACAAGACAAGGATGTCCACTACCACCACTGTTACTCAGTATTTTACTGGGAGTTTTAGCTAGAGCAATCAGAAAGAAAAGAAATAAAAAGCATATAAATTGGAAAAGGGGATGTCAGATTATCTTTGTTCATTTACAGTATAATCTCATACAGATAAAATATTAGACTCCTCAAAAAACTTTTAGATTTGATTAATGAATTCAGTAAAATTTCAGGATATAAAAATCAGTGTGCAAAAATCAGTAATATTACTATATACCAGTAATGATCAAGCTGCGAACCAAATCAAAAAAGCAATTCCATTTACAACAGTTACAAGAAAAGGTACCCAGGAAAACAGTTAATCAAGGAGATAAAATAAAAAATTTCACTTATAAAAGAAATAGTAAATGACACAAACAAATGGAAAAATATTTTATGGTCATATATAAAATAAATTAATATAATTAAAATGATCGTACTGTCCAAAGCTGTCTACAGATTGACATCGCTATGTCAATCCAACCCCATCAAAATACTAACATCATCTTTTGCAGAATTGGAAAGCAAAATTATAAAACGTATACGGGACCAAAAAAGAGCCCAAATACCAAAGCAATGCTAAGCAAAAGGAGCAAAGCTGGAGGCATCACATTACCTGACCTCAAATTATATAGCTTCAAATTATATACCTGACCTCAAATTACATAGTTACTATAGCAAGTCTATTATGACCAAAACAGCATGGTACCAGCATAAAAATAGACATTTGGATTATGGAACAGAATAGGGAACTGTATTAGGTCATTCTTGTGTTGCCATAATAAAATACCTAAGATTGGGTAATTTATAAAGAAAAGAGGTTTAATTGGCTCATGGTTCTGCAGACTTTACAAGAAGTATGGTGTATGGTGCAGACATCTTCTTGGCCTCTGGGGAGGTCTCAAGAAGCTTACTATAATGGCAGAAGGTGAAAGGGGAGCAGTCATCGCATATGGTGGGAGAGAGAACGAGAGAGAGAGAGGAGGTGCTGCACATTTTTAAAAGACAAGAACCCACGAATTATCACAAAGACAGCACCAAGCCATGAGGGATTCACCTCCCATGACCCAGGCACCTCCCACTAGGACCTTTCTCTGGCATTGGAGATGATAATTACATATGATGTTTGGGCAGGGACGAATATCCAAACTATATCAGGAACCTAAAAATAAAGCCACATATCTACAGCTAACTAACTTTTCACAAATTTGAAAGAATTATATATTGGGGAAAGTACACCATTTTAAATAAATAGTATTAGAAAAATTAGATGGTGATATGCAAAAAAGTGAAACTGAACCCCTATCTCTCATCATATACAAAAATCAACACAACATGGGTTAAAACTTAAATATAAGATTTTAAACTGTTAAAATACTAGATAAAAACCTAGGCAAAATTCATCTGTACATTGTTCTAGAGCAACACTAGTACACTATTTTGGGGAATGTAAATTAGCACATCTATGAAAGACAGTGTGGAGATTTCTCAAAGAACTAAAATTACAACTGTCATTCAATCCACTAGTTCCACTACTGTGTACCTACCCAAAAGAATAAAACTAAGTGTCCATCAGCAGATGAATGGACAAAGAAAATGTGCTGTATAAACACAGTGAAATATTATTTTGCCATATAAAAGATATAGGTAATGTATTTTGCAACAACATGGATGAAACTGAAGGCAGTAAACTTAAATGAAACAACTCAGAAACAGATGATAGTCAAATACTTTATGTTCTCATTTACAAGTGGAAGCTAAATAATATGTACACATAGACTTAGAGTGTGAAATAATAAACATTGAAGACTCAGAAGAGTGAGAGGCTGAGAGAAGATGAGGGATGAGAAATTGCTTAATGAGTAAAAGATACATTATTTGGGTAATATTTACAATAAAAGCTTAGACTTCACCGTGAAACAATATATCCTTATAACAAAACTGCATTTGTGCCTGTTAAATGTAAACAAATATATCAATTATGTTTTGATTACTAATTATATTGTTTTAATTATTGTGTCATTTCTTTTTTTAATATTATATGCCTGTCCCTTTACCCATTTTTCTGTTGAGTTGTTTATAGTTTGCTGACCAATTTGTAGTGGATAGTAATATTTTTTGTTTGTTATGATATAACTACCTTTCATAAATTTTTGGCTTACTCTTAACTTTATAGTTTTTGTGATGAAGAGAGATGTTTAATATTAAAGAGTTTACATCTTCTAACATTTGTGCTTCTTGCTCAAAAAGACAATCCAACCTTTATAAAATTATCTCTTAAATTGCCATCTAAAACTTGTATATATTATTACATTTATATTTTAGTATGTAAATAATTTATATTACATATGTTATTATATATTATGAATATACATCGTGTAATATAATGTTAATATATATTTTGTTGTTTGTATATGTGATGAAGGAGGCTCAAATACTTTTTGCATATTCATATCTAATTATTCAATCACCAATAATTACATAGGTCAGCTGTAACCATTGTTGTTCAAAGCTTACATTGGCATAATTTTTATACTTGTTATATGATTTTAAAAATTGACTCCCCTTTGTACTTTGTCCTCAAGGACTGTCTCAAATGCTTTCAGGCCTTTATTCTTCAATATAGGTTTTATAATCAACTTGACAAGTTTCATAAAAAATGTTGTTGGCTGTTTGATTTACATCTTGTATATTAAAAATCCCTATATATTAAATAGGAGGTTACAGACATTTTAGATACTGAGTCTTCCTATAAAACAAATAAAATCATATAAAACTCATTAACATGTAATAATGTCTTTCAATGAAGTTTTGTAATTTTTCTTCAAAATATTCTTAAGTACATTTTTCAGATTTTAGAAATTTTATATATCGATCACTCTTTTTAATAATATTTATAAAATACCTTTTCATTTTTGAATAACTATAGCTTTACAAGTAATTCAAATATAGATAGAAAAATTTCCTTATACTCTCACCCAATGTGCTTTTTGATTATCATTTCACATTACTGTGGTATATTTATCAAAACTTAAATTTCAATATTTGTACTTCGCTATTAACTAAACTCCAGACTTTATTTAAATGTACAATTTCTTCATTGATACAATTATTCTGTTCCAGGATTCAATCCAGGATATCACATTGAATTTAGTTTTCATGTATTTGTAGTTTCTTCTAGTGTGTGACTGTTTCACAATATTATTTTTATTGTTTATTATAACCTTTATTATATTGAGAAATATTGGTTATGTGTTTGGTGTAACATCACTCGAATTGAAATTTTTAATATTTTTCTCATGCTAACAATTATTTTTGAATGGATATTATATAGACAAAGTACTCTTTTTATCACATCAGTGGTTCATGATATTTGTGACTTCATTTGTATAGTTAATATTGGCCACCTGGTTAAGATGGTTGATATGGTTTGACTCTGTGCCCCCATCCAAATCTCATGTCCAGTTGTAATTCCCAATGTTGGTGGAGGCACCTCATGGGGGCGGATTTCCCCTTTGCTGTTCTTGTGATACTGAGTGAGTTTTCATGAGATCTGGTTGTTTAAAAGTGTGTAGCACTTACTTCCCCCTTCCCTCTCTCTCTCCTGTTTCACCATGGTAAGATGTACTTGCTTCCCCTTCACCTTCCACCATAATTGTTAAGTTTACTGAGGACACCCAGTCATGCTTCCTGTGCAGCCTGACAAACTGTGAGTCAATTAAACCTCTTTTCTTCATAAATTACCCAGTCTCCGGTAGTTCTTGTAGCAGTGTTAGAACGGACTAACACAATGGTGTTTGCCATGTATCTCCACTATAAAGTTTTTGGAAGATTACTAAATTGAGACAACAAAGTGGGAGGGGTAAACTATATCCTTTACAGGAATATATCTGTATATATAATTTGAAATTCTTCTATAAGAAAAATTTGTCTCTTCTCTCTTGTTTACCTACTCATTTTGTTATAAAAATATGGATTCATATATTTTTATTCTATAATTTAGGTAGTCACTCAATACAGTGTTATGAGTTTATGGATCAACTTTTTTCCAGCTTTAGCTATTGAAAATTCTTTTAGTTTGCTCCTGTGTGCTTTTAAAATGCCCATATTCTTTTGAGTTTTTTTCAGTATTTCTATGTTTTTAGCAGTACAATCTAGAACCTAGTTTTATCTTTTGATTTTCCTTACTAAGCTCTAGAATCAACCCTTGTTACATGAAGCTGTGGTTCTTTTTATCAGAGAATGGCATTTAGAGATCGAGATCTGGGCAGTGGAGGATGTTTGCTGTTTCTGGGGAGTAATTACTTGTTAATCTCCTCAGCAAACAGTGCTAGATTTTATATAGATGTATATTATTTACGTACAAACACACACACATACATATGTTAATTTACAATTGTTTTGTTATCTAGCGTTATTATATTTATTAAACTAAGTAGAAATTCATACTGATGTCTCTGACTCTACACCAGTATTGCAGAGTTTATTCTAGTCTCTGCTTTTTTTTTTTTTTACCTGTAACTTCTCTGTTCCAGTGAGAAAACTTGCTTCTTCATATGTAATTCATTTACCTGTTTGTCCTACCTCAGTATATACGTAAATCAATTTTAGAATTGTTAAGCTGTATCTCTATAAAAAACAAATTTACAAAGTAAAGTACAATGTTATTGTATAGTTCCTTTTGTTTTTATTCTTATAGTTCCAAGTCAAAACACCATTTTCCAAAGTTATGTCAACTCTTATTTTCCCAACTTCTTTTAGAGTGTTTATAAAAGTTTGATTATTGGGTATAAACTTGTATCATATATATGCAAGACAGATTTATTTGCAACTTGCTGAATTCTGTTCTGGAATTCCCCAATATTTTGTTGGAATTTTATGTAATTTGTACATATTACAGTTTATTATTACTTAATATCTACAGTGCTACAGGTTTTGACAAAAAATAATATATAGAGTCATGTATTCTCCATCCTAGTACCATATATTGGAATACTTGCATCACAATAAAATTCCCTTTGCTCACTCATACCATTTTTAGTCTAATTATTCCCTGCTCAATCCAAACAAGGCAATCACTGATCTTTTATTGTTTTTGCTGTTGTCCCTGTACAGGCATGCCTAGTTTTATTGTACTTTGCTTTATTGTGCTTTGCATACGCTGCTTTTTTTCTTTCTTTTTTTTTTTTTTTACAAATAGAAAGTTTGTGGCAAGTCTGCTTTGAAAAGTCTATCAGCACCATTTTTCTAACTGCATGTGTTCACTTTATTAGAATTTTAACAATAAAATATTTTAATTAAGGTATGTACATTTTAGACAAAATGCTATTTGCACACTTAATAGGCTATAGTATAGTGTAGTCATAATTTTTATATGCACTAGGAAATAATAAAATTTAAGTGACTTGCTGAGTTGCAATATTTGCTTTATTGCCATGGTCTGAAACCAAAACCACAACACCTCCCAGGTATGCCTATAGTTTTACCATTTCTAGGGTGTCATAAGAGTGAAACAATATAATTCATAGCATTTGGGGTCAGAAATATTTTACTTAGGAAAATGCATTTAAGATTCATCCATGTTTTTGTGTTAATCAATACCTATTTCTTTTTGTTGCTGAATGGTATTTTATTGTATGTAATAAGTATGCTTATCAACTCACTTCTTGAAGGCTATCTTGGTTGTTGTCACATTGTATTAGTCTGTTCTCATGCTTCTGTAAAGACATACACAAGACTGGGTAGTTTATGAAGGAAAAAGATTTAATTCACTCACAGTTCAGCATGGCTGGGGAGGCCTCAGGAAACTTACCATCATGACTGAAGGTGAAGAGGAAGCAAGCACCTTCTTCACAAGGCAGCAGGAAGGAGAAGTTCTGAGCAAAGGATGCAAAGCCCCTTATAAAACCATCAGATCTCTTGTGAACTCACTATTATGAGAAAAGCATGGGGATAACCACCCCCCTTATTCAATTACCTCCCACTGGGTCCCATCCACCACATTTGGAGATCATAGGAACTACAATTTAAGATAAGATTTGGGTGGGTACCAAATCTGGGTGGTACCAGCCAAACCATATCACATATTTTAGTCATGAATGAAACTGCTATAAACTTTTGTATAGGTTTTTGGTGTGAACCACTTTTTCCTTTTTCTGGTGTTAAATATCTAAAAATGTGGTTATTGTGTTGTGTAGTGTTAATGACTGCATGTTTGTGTTGCACCATAATCTACATATTAAAGCCCCACTCCCCAATGAGATGGTATTTGCAGGTTGGACTTTTGGAAGACAAATAGATTTAGATGAACTCATTAAGTTGGAGCTTTTATGAGTGCCCTTATGAAAAGAGAGAGAGAAGATCACTCTTACTCTTTCTCGCTTGCTCTCTCTTTCTTTGTTATGTGAGGACACAGCAAGAATATGGAAAGTGGCCATCTGGAAGCCAGGAAGAGGACCCTCACCAGTAACCAAATGTTCCAGCACCTAAATCTTGAATGTCTCAGTCTCCAGAACTGTGAGAAAGAAATATCTATATTTAAGCACCCAGTTTTTGGTATTTTTTACAGCAACCCAAGCTGACGAATACCTAT
This sequence comes from Homo sapiens, assembly GCF_000001405.40. Lineage (NCBI taxonomy): Eukaryota > Metazoa > Chordata > Mammalia > Primates > Hominidae > Homo > Homo sapiens. Next base: position 82,250,415 of record NC_000023.11, read on the forward strand.
GGTAAATCAAGGTTTAACTTATAAAAAATAGTCAAACTATCTTCCAAAGTGGATGTGTTATTTTTATTTTGCATTTTGACCAAAAGGGAATGAGAGGTCCTGTTGCCCTACATCCTTGCCAGCAATTGATTTGATCAGCTTTATAAATTCTAATTATTTTAATAAGTAAGTAGTGGCATCTCACTATGTTTTAATATCCATTTTCCTAATAATAAATAACGTTGAACATCTTTCCATATGCTTATTTGCCATCCATTTATCTCATATATATTCTTTGGTGAGGGGATTGTCCAAATACTTCGCTCAGTTGTTATTGCATTGCCTTTTTAAAATTATTGAGGCATTCAAATGTTATTTATGCATTCTTTCTAACTCCTCTTTAAATAAATTTGAAATATAATTTACAAATATTGTATCATAGTCTGTGGTTTGTCCTTTTATTCTTTTTATAGGATTTTTTCATAGAGCAAAAGATGTTAATTTTGATGGAGACCAATTTACGAGATTTCTTTAATGAATTATGTTTTGGTGTTGTATGGATAAACATTACAGAGCTTTAAATCATGGCGATTTTTTTCTATTTTTGTTATAAAAGGTTTATATTTTAAAATTTTAAATTCGGTCTATGATCCATTTTGGTCATTTTTTGTATAAAGTGTGAGGTACGTGTCGAGGTTTATATTTTTGTATATCAAAGTCCAGTTGTTTGGCGTCAAAGTTTATAAGACTATTCTTTCTCTGTTGAATTGCTTTTGCATCTTTGTAAAAAAAAATCAGCTGACTATATTTTTGTGGGCCTATTTCTGAGCTCTCTATTCTGATTCATTGACCTATGTGTCTAATCTTTTACCAATGCTGCTTTTTTACTATTGTAGCTGTATATTTTTCTGAATTTATATATAGGTACTTCAGGCTTTATATGTACACACACACACACATATACACACACACACACACATACACGTGTGTGCGTTTCCATTTGGTCTTGAGGTCTCTCTCTGGAGAATAGCCATAAACTCTAGTCCTTTCCTGATGAGGCTCAAAGGGTTGTGGTTATGTATGTATTATATAATATGTCTTTCACTGAATTTTTTTTATTCTGATAGACAGTGTAATGCCTAATTGTCTGATCTGTGACTAGATATCCACCTCAAGAAACTTATGTTTCCTGACAGATGCCCTTTTGGATCTTGTCTTACAGGTGTCCGGTTTATTCCTGCCTAGGAGAGCCTTGACTGGGAGAAAAGTTAGGTCTGGGTGAATCAATTGATTGAGACACAGAGGAGCCAATGGAACAAAATATACATAAAATGACAAAAGTAGTTTATTATTTACAGGCCATGAGAGAAGAAGGGTGCTGACAAAAGCTGGTGGGAAAGTAACAGGGGCAACATGCCCAACTTGGAGTTAGAAGCCAGAATGAGAAGAACTTGCGGGCTGAGGTCTTTTTTGGTATCTGGGGCATTATCCAGTGAGGTTTATTGCCAGGAATTCTAATTGATGGGTTTAAAGCAAGCAAGCAGAAATTCCATAGAGTTACTATGTGAGTGAGAGATAGTTACGGTGGTATATCTGTGCAATATATGGGAAGTTGTCAGGGGTCAGTGGGGTTTGTCAGGTAGGTTGTGTATAGCTTTCCCAGTGAGAGAGCATCACCAGGAGGCAGTTGTATAAGGCAGATGTCTGGATTAGCAGCATTAAAGAACTAGGGGTGGAGAAGGAGGTAGAAAACGATACTGCGTGCCGGGTGACTAATCCCTCCTTGTGATAGGAGAAAGTTAAACTTACATTCAAAGGAATATCGATGCAGTATAAAATTATAAGAATTTATTAATTGGTGCTGCTAAAAATGTTATCTCTTAAATATCATGTTCCAGTTGTTTATTGGTGACATGGATGAATAAGATTGATTTTGTATATGTTAACTTCATCTTACATAAATTTGTTAAACTTCCTTACCAGCTCTGGAAGTGTCTGTGTGATTTGTAAATTCTTCAACATATTCTACCAATAGAATCATTTAGTCTGCTAATAAAGAAAACTATTTTATACATTGCAGTCTACACATTTGATTGTTTTCTCTATTGTACAACTTAGGATTTCCAGTAAAATGTTAAATAGGAATGGGAAGCGAGGATATTTTGTCGTGGTGCAGATTTTAAAAGAATGCATCCCATCTGTCATCAAGTATAATGTGAGCCATAATATTTTGAATACAGTCTCTATTGGGTTAAGGAAGTTCTCTTGTATTCCATGGCTGAGAATTGTTATTATGAGTGGGTACTAAATTTTGTTGAATATTTTCAACATCTATTGATATGATTTTGTGCTATTTCTTAGTTAATATGATAGATTATGTCAATTGTGTTTTAAATATTGAATGAAGCTTGATTCTAAGGCTAAATCCCACATGGTTATGATGTATTATGCATTTTGTATATTGCCAGATTTTCTTTGCTAATATTTTGTTAGGGATTTTTGAATTCAATACCTAATATTTTGTTAGGGATTCTTCATAAGAGATATTAGTCTATAGTTTTTTGTCGTTGTCGTTCTTGTGTAGTTATCTGGCTTTGATATTAGAAAAATATAAACTGAAAAAATAAATCTGAATGTGTACTTTCTTATTCTATTTTGTAGATGACATTATGTAAACTTATGGCATATTATGTAAATTTATTGTTTAAATTTTTCATGAAATTTACCAATAAAAATATTTTGCTATGTTTTCAAATTTATGAGAATAGGGTTATTAACATTATTCTCTTACTCATTTAATATCAGTAAGATCAGCAGCAATGTTCCCTCTTTAATTCTTGTTTTTGGTAAAGTGCATTTTTTCTTTGCTTTTTGGTTAGCCTGAAAAGAAGCTTATTAATTTTATCTTTTCAGATAATCAGCTTTTGGTTTTATTAATTCTCTCTGTCGGTTTTATGATTTCAATTTCATTTACTTCTGTGTTAATTTGTATTTTTATCTTTCTATTTGCATTTGACACAATTTGCTTTTGATTTCCATTTAAATTTGGGCAAGGTTCTTCAAATTATATATTTATTTTTTCTAATATATACACTTAATGGTATATATTTCTTCCATTGATTTTTGATGTATTGTGTTTTTATTTTCATTTAGTCAAAATATATTTTCTAAATTTTTTAGACTTCCTTTTTGACCCGTAGATAATTTACAAATGCATTGTTTACTTATCAAATACTTTCATGTTTTCAAATTTATTCAGTTACTAATTTTTTAGTTTAATTTTATTATGGTCAGAAAATGCACATTGGACAATTTTAATTTAAAAAGTTTAGGTTTTTCTTATCAATCATGACATGGTCTATCTTGGTGAATATTCCATATACACTTGAGGAAAATATGCATTCTGCTGTTGAAGGGAATATTCTATAAATTAGATCAAATTTGTTAATAGTATTTTTATTTTATTTATATACTTACTTATGTTCTACCTACTTGTTTTATCAATTACTGAGAGAGAAGTTTTAAACTCTTCAACTGTAGTCGTAGAGTTTTTTTAATTTTTATATTAAGTTTAGAGGTATATGTGCAGGTTTTATACATAGGTAAATTGCATGACACGAGGGTTTGGTGTACAGATTATTTCATAATCTGGGTAATGAGCATAATACCTGATAGGCAGATTTTTTAGATATTCATCCTTCTCCCACCCTCCAACTTCAAGTAGGACATGGTCTGTTGTTCTGTTAATTGCGTCCAAGTGGAAGCTAAATACTGGGTAAGTGATAAGTGAGAACATGTGGTATTTTGTTTTCTGTTTCTGCTTTAGCTCACTTAGAATAATGGCCTCCAGCTCCATTCATGTTACTGCAAAATACATAAGCTCATTCCATTTATGTTGCTGCAAAATACATAAGCTCATTTTTTTTATGGTTGCATAGTAGTTCATAGTATATGTACTACATTTTCTTTATCCTGCCTACTATTGATGGGCATTTAGTTCGAGTCCATGTCTTTGCTATTGTAAATAGCGCTAACAGGAACACATGCATGCACGTGCCTGTATAACAGAATGATGTATATTGCTTTGGTTATGTACCCAATAATGAGATTGCTAGGTCAAATGGCAGTTCCTGTTTTAAGTTCTTTGAGGAATCACCAAATTGCCTTCCACAATAGCTGAACTAATTTACATTCCCACAAGCAGTGTATTAGTGTTCCCTTTTCTCTGCAACCTCACTGACATCTGTTACTGTTTGACTTTTCAGTAACAGTCATTCTGACTTGTGTGAGATGGTATCTCATTGTGTTTTTATTTGCATTTCCTTAATGGTTAACAATATTGAGTATTTTTTTTCTTGTGCTTATTGGCTACATGTATGTCTGTTCATGTCCTTTGTCCACTATTTAATGGAGTTCTATGGTTTTCCTTGTTAATTTGTTTAAGTTTCTTATAGATTATGAATATTAGATCATTGTTGAATGCATAGTTTGCAAATATTTTCTTCCATTCTTTAGGTTGTTTACTCTATTGATAGTTTCTTTTGCTGTGCAGAAGCTATTTAGTATAATTAGGTCCCACTTGTCAATTTTTGTTTTTGTTGCTGTTGTTTATGGCACTGCCTTTATAAAATCTTTGCCAGATTATGTTTTGAATGGTATTTCCTAGGTTACCTTCCAGGGTTTTAATAGTTTTAGGTCTTATATTAAAGTCTTTAATCTATCTTGAGTTGATTTCTGTATATGGTGTAAGAAAGGAATCCAGTGTAAATCTTCTGCATATTGCTATCCAGTTATCTCAGCACCATTCATTGAACAGGCAATCTTTTCCTCGTTGACTGCTTGTGTCAACGTTGTCAAAGATTGATGGTTGTAGGTGTGCAGCTTTATTTCTGGCCTCTCTATTCTGCTCTATTGGCCTATGTGTCTGTTTTTGTACCAGTGCCATGCTATATTGGTTAATGCAGCCTTGTACTACAAATTGGAATTTTGATGATGTTATGCCTCCGGCTTTGTTCTTTATGCTTAGAATTACCTTGGCTATTTAGGCTTTTTTTGGTTCCATGTGAATTTTTAAATAGCTCTTTTTTCTAATTTTGCAAAGAATATCAGAGTTAGTTTAATAGGAAGAGCATTAAATCTGTAAATTACTTTCAGTAGTATGTCCATTTTAACAATATTATTTCTATCCATGAACATGGTAAGTTTATTTATTCGTTTGTATCATCTCTGATTTCCTTAAGAAGTGTTTTGTAATTCTCATTGTAGAGATTTTACACCTCCCTAGTTAGCTGTATTTCTAGGTATTTTACGCTATTTATCGCTATTGTGAATGGGATGGCTTTCATGATTTGGCTCTCAGCTTGGACATTATTGGTATATAAAATATCACTGATTTTTATACATTAATTTTGTATCCTGAAACTTTGCTGAAGTTGTTTAACAGATCTAGGAGCTTTTGGTCAGAAACTATAAGATTTTCTAAGTAAGGAATCATATCACCTGCATATTGAGATAGTTTTACTTTCTCTCTTTCTATTTGGGTGCCTTTTATTTCTTTCTCTTGCCTGATTGTCCCATCTGGAACTTCTAGTACTGTGTTTAATAAGAGTGGTGAGAGTAGGCATCCTTGTCTTGTTTCAGTTCTCAAGGGGAATGCTTCCAGCTTATGCCCATTCAGCATGTTGTTAGCTGTGAGTTTGTCATAGACTTATCATTATTTTGAGGTATGTTTCTTTGATACCTAGATTTTGAGGGTTTTTAACATGAAGGATGTTGAATTATAATAAAGATTTTTTCTTCATCTATTGATATTAGCATCTATTTTTTACTTTTAAGTTCTATTTATGTAATAAATCACACTTATTGATTTTCATGTGTTGAAGCAACCTTGCATTCCAGGAATAAAGCCTACCTGGTTTAGGTGGATTAGCTTTCTGATGTACTGCTGGATTTAATTTCTTAGTATATTCTTGAAGATTTTTGCATCTCTGTTTATCAAGGATATTGGCCTAATGTGTTGTTTTGTTTTGTTTTGGCTTTACAACTTTGTGGTATCACAATTATGTTAACCTTTTAAAATGAGTTGCAGAACAGTCCCTCCTTCTCAATCTTTGGAGTAGTTTTAGTAAGAATGGTATCAGCTCTTCTTTATGTATCTGGTAGAATTCACCTGTGATAGCTTCTGGTCCTTGGCTTTTCCTTGTTGGTAGGCTTTTTATTACTGATTCAGTTTCAGAACTTATTATTTGTCTGTTTAGGGATTCAATTCATTAATTTCAATCTTGAGATGTTTTATGTTTCCAGGAATGTATCCACTTCTTGTAGGTTTTCTACTCTCTGCACATTGAGGTGTTTGCATTATTCTCTGAGGGTTTTTTTTTTCTGTATCTTAGTGGGGTCAGAGCAAATGTCCCCTTGTTATTTCTGATTGTGTTTATTTGGATCCTCTCACTTTTTTTCTTTATTAGTCTAGTTAATAGTCTATTAACCTTATTTATACTTTCAAAGAACCAAGTCCAGGATTCATTGATCTTTTATACATTTTTTCTTTGCATCTCTATTTCATGTAGCTCAGCTCTGATTTTGATTATTTCTTGTCTTATGCTAGCTTTAGAATTTGTTTTATTTTGTTCTTCTGGTTCCTCTAAGTGTGATGGTAGGTTGCTCATTTGAGATCTTTCTAACTTACTATTCGATGTGGGCATTTAACACTGTAAGCTTTTCTCTTAACACTGAATTATCTGTGTTCCAGAGATCTTGGTATGTTGTATATTTGTTCTATTAATTTTAAATGTTTTTTATTTCTGCCTTAATTTTATTGTTTATTCAAAGGTCCTTAAGGTGCAGGTGTTTAACTTTCATTTAATTGTATGCTTTTTAGCCAACTTCTTAGTATTGATCACTATTTTTATTGGACTGTAGTCCAAGAGTGTGGTTGTTATTATTATTTTTTTAATTTGCTGAGAATTGCTTATGGCAATTTTGGAGTATGTGCCATATGCATAAGATAATAGTGTATATTCCATTGTTTCTGTGTGGAGGGTTCTGTAGACATCTGTTAGGCCCGCTTGTTTAAGGTTCTGAATATCTGTTAGTTTTCTGTCTAGATGATCCATCTAATATTGTCAGTGGGGTGTAAATTCTCCCACTATTATTGTATGGTTATCTAAGTTCCTTGTATGTCCCTACAACTTGTTTTATAAATCTAGGTGCTCCTGTGTTAGGTGCACATATATTTGGAATAGTTATGTCTATCTCTTTATTTTGAGTCTATGAATGCCATTACGTGTGAAATGCATCTTTTGAAGACAGCATTCGATTACATCTTGTTTCTTCATCCAAGTTGCCAGTCTGTGCCTTTTAATTGGAAAATTTAACCTATTTACATTCAAGGTTTATATTGATTTGTGTGGATTTAATCTTGTCATCATGTTGTGAACTGGTTATTACATAGACATGAATGTCTAGTTGCTTTAGAATGTCAATTGTCTATGGACTTAAGTGTGATTTTGTGGTGGAATGTAATGGTCTTACCTTCCCATGCTTAGGACTTTCTTTAGGGTTCTTTGTAAGGCAAATCTAGTGGTTAGAAATTACTTTGTCACTTTCTTCGCTGAAAATGATCTTTGTTCCCCTTCACACAGGAAGCATAGTCTGGCTGGATATAAAAATTTTGGCTGAAATTTGTTTTCTTTATGAATGCTGAATATAGGTCCCTAATTTATTTTTGCTTGTAGGGCTTCTAATGAAAAATGTACTGTTAGCATGATGGGATTCCCTTTGAAAATGACCAGCTTCTTCTCTCTATCTGCCTTTAATCTTTTCTTTTTCATTTCAGACTTGGAGAATCTGATGACTATGTGTCCTGGGGACGGCTATCTTGTGCAGTACCTTTCAGGGGTTCTCTTTACTTCCTGAATTTAAATATTGGCCTCTCTAGTGAGGTTGGAGAAATTTTCATGGACGATAGCCTCATATATGATTTTTTATGTTGCTTTATTTCTCTTTCTCTCTTTAAGGGATACCAATGAATAACAGATTTTGCCTCTTTCCATAATCTCATATTTCTCAGATATTTTGTTTATTCTATCATTTTTTCTTCATCTTTGTCTGACTGAGTTAATTTGGAGAACTAGACTTCAAGCTCTGAGATTCTTTCTTCAGCTTGGTCTATTCTGCTATTAATAGTTGCTATTGTATTATAAAATTCTTAAAGTAAGTTTTTCAGCTCTACCAGCTCAGTTTGGTTCTTTCTTAAGAGTCATTTCATCTTTCAGCTACTATATTATTTTATTGTATTTTTCTGGTTTCTTCAGTTGGGTTACAACTTTCTCCTGAATCTCAATTATCTTCATTCTAATATATATATGAATTTCTATGTCTGCTACTTCAGCCTGGTTTAGAACCATTTCTGGGGAACTAGTGTGGTAATTTGGATATAAGAAGATACTCTGGCTTTTTGAGTTGCCAGAGTGTTTGTGCTGGTTCTTTCTTATCTGTGTTGGCATTTGTTTCTTCAATTTTGAAGTTGTTGTCCTTTGGATTTTTTTTTTTTTTTTTTTTTTTTGCTTATATTTTCTTTGATGGCCTTAGAGGTTTGATTGTGGTACAATGTGGGTTCAGTCAACTGACATTTTTTCTTGAAGATTTTAAGGTGCCAAAGCTCAGGTCAGTACTCACGGGCTACATGTTCTAACACTGGGGGGCCATTATCAGGCCCCCGACTTTTTTATTCTCCTCTTGAGATTATAAACCTGTTGTGCTAGAGAAGCTGAAATGTCCCCAGTCCACTGGCCACAACACTCTGATGGGTGATTCCAGCCAAGCCACTTCATCAGGGCAGTGACAGCGGGATCCATTCTCCCTTGCACATGCCAGTAGCCGTGGCAGTGAGGTGAGGTGTACGCACATTAGTTAATGCAGGTCCTGTAATTGTAGATTTTATTTTTTGTATTTTCATATGTATTTTTTTTCTCTTCTGGTGTCAAAGCTTATTTGTTTTAAGAGCCATACACATTTTTAGAATTAAGTTATTTTAGAGGATTGACCCTCTTACTATTGAATGTTTCACTTTATACACATATTCTTTCTTGTTCTGAGGTCTGTGTATCTGTGATTAATGTATATATTTCAGATTTCTTTCATTTTGTTTGTAGCCTTTGCCATTTGTTGAATATTTACATACCTATGTCTTCCTATTTGTAGCAAATTTATTATAGACAGCCTATAGTTTGTTTCTGCATTTGTATGTAATATAATTGCTCTGGCTAGGTCTTCTGGTGCTACAGTGAATAGAAGTGGTGAGAGTGGGCATTCTTGCCTTTATTCATGTGTTATAGAAAAAGCTTTTTTAAATTATTGGGTATGAATATTTGCTGTGAGTGTTTTATATATGGTCTTTATTTGTTGATGTAAATTCCTTATATGCTTAATTTCCTAAAAGTTTATAAGCTGAATAAGTGTTGAATTTTGTCAAATGTATTTTTTAACATCTAATGAGATAAGCATATGAACTTTATTCTTTATTCTGCTCTTGTGGTGTCTCACATGATTGATTTGCCTATGTTGAGCTATACTTCCATCCCAGGCATAAATCATACTTTATCATGGTGTGCAATTCTTTTGATGTACCATTGAATCTGATAGTTTAATATTCTGTTGAGAGCTTTTTCAGCTATTTTCATCAGGAATATTGACCTGTAATGTGTGTGTGTGTGTGTGTGTGTGTGTGTGTGTGTGTGTGTGTCTTTAGTATTAGGTGATATTGGCCTTGTTACATGTATTTGGAAGAATTTTTTTTCGAGAGAGTTGAATAATAATTGACGTTGAGAGGGATGTCATCAAGATGGTAAAATAAGAGGCTTCTGATATTTTTTGCCCCCATGGATGCACCAAATAAACATTTACATGTGGATTAATTACCTCTGAGAAAAAGCCAGAAACTAATTCACTGTTACACACCAGGCAAATTAGAAAATATCCATATTGAAACATATATGAAAATCTGAGACACATTCTTGCCACAAACCCCACCCTGGATATAATGCCTTGCTATTGTTAAAAAAAAATCTCCAATTCCCAGCTTCCTTTTTTCCTTAGAAATAAAGAGTTCAGTGCACATATTTACAGTGCCACAACTTTTACAGTTTCTATCAGACCATTTGGATCCTTCATCACTTAGCTCTGGGAGCAAAAGAGTCTTGGCATTTACAAGTCTCCATAGACCTAGAGAATAATGTGATTTTAAATGGACACACTAGCAATGCCAGAGGCTATTCCTTAGGGTAAAGCACAGAAAAAAATAGGCAAAGAATTTCACCTCCCAGTTTTGTTTTGTTTTTTCCTAGAAGGGGTTTGTCTGCACCCTTTCCATGTGTTAGGGAATAGTCAGGTTTCTAACTAGCCTTTATCTGGTAGCAGACAGAGGAGGTAAACAATAGTCTTCTGGGAGTCTTTAAAAAGGCATATGGGCACTTCTCATGCCTTCTCCTCCAACTCTCTTTGGTGATTAAAAACAAGTCTGCAGATTCTTCTTAGAAAGAATGTAGCATGCGTTATGACTCGAAGTTTTATAACTCTCACCTGAAGAACTGCTTCCTTTATCGCCTACTTCTGAGAGTTGAAAGGGATCTTCATTTATGAGTCTTTCTAGACTACAGAGCACAAAAAGATAGCAGCTATACCCTAGGCTCAATGCTAAGCAAACAGACAAAAATTATCCATTTCCAATTTCAACCTGAAAGGGGTTGACTGCACACCAAACACCGAAATTTTTTCAGCTGCTGTCTATTGGTCAGGCCACTAATTATCCTACATCTGGGAGCTAAGGGAGTAGTCAAGCAAAAGTCCTCGGTGACCTTGAATTGGCATGTGGGCATCTCCCACAATACCTCCTGCCACTTCATGCCAGAGATAGCCAAGGCTCCAGTTAACTCTCTTGTCTCAGAGATCAGACAGAGAAGGCATATTCCAGGCCCTTGGGAACAATAAAGAGCAAAGCAACATGTTGAAAGCGTGTGACATCTGAGTGTAAGTGCAGGAATTTACCACAGATTAACTTACTGACATCGTACAGAGAAAAGAGAAGATGAATTCAAGCTTCCAGCTTCTAACTGAGGAGACGAAAAAATGGAACACATATCTAACACCCCAAAATTTCTACCTGCATCTCAAGTGAATGGTTAATGTCTCACCTGTCTTAAGGCATTGATAAAGCATAGCACATCTTAATTTCCTGGGGTACACTAAGAATAAAGACACAGATCTGGAAAAGCTCAATGGTTTAAAAGCCACCTAGAATATATAGCCAAAATAATTGGTGAGATTTATATCTTACATAAGCCAATCTGAAAAGATGGGGAGAGGCAGTCATCTTATCTGAAGCACAGAAACCAACATGGAGAGCCAAGAGAAATAAAACAAAAACAGTGAAGGATGTTCCAATATCCAAAACTGATGCTACTTAAATGGAGAGATATGATTTAGCTGACAGAGAATTCAAAAGAATAGTCTTAAAGGTGCAAACGGAGGTTGGGAGAGAAATATATGAACAAAATGAGAATTTCAGAAAAGGTAGAAAACATGAAAAAGTACCAAATTATAATCAAAGTTCTAAATAATACAATAACTGAACTTAAAAATTCAATAGAGAGTGCAAAGTGAAGTGTCAGAGCCCCAGCAGTGGAGAGTGGTTGGCTCGCAGGTAGTAAAAAGAATTTACCAACAATGGTATAAGTTTGAAAAAGAAAGGTTTATTAGATATAAATAATGCTGCAGCTGCATGCAGTGGGGTGCTTCAGCAAGAGAGGACTGAGCGCACCATAGTGGATTTTTCTTAGGGGTATTTATGGACGCTAAAGCAGTAATTTAACGGCAATTTAAAATGTTCGTTACGTGGGTTATGGCAAATGACGTTGTTTGCAGACATTTTTGTGCCTTGATAATAGCAAGGGTTGCACAATGAGTTTCAAAATGCCTGCATTTCAGAGATGTATAGAAATTCTAGTAACTTATAGCTGGGTGCAGTGGCTCATGCCTGTAATCTCAGCACTTTGTTAGGCCAAGGTGGGTGGATCACCTGAGGTATGGAGTTCGAGACCAGCCCTGCCAACATGTTGAAAACCCATCTCTACTAAATATACAAAATTAGCCCAGTGTGGTGACACATGCCTGTAATCCCAGCTACTTGGGAGGCTGAGGCAGGAGAATCGCTTGAACCCAGGAGGTGGAGGTTGCAGTGAGCCGAGAACGTGCCATTGCACTCCAGCCTGGGCAACTAGAGTGAGACTCCATCTCAAAAAAAAAAAAAAATTCTAGTGACTTATAAATTTTGGGAAAAAAAATCTGGTACTGGATGTAGGTTTTAGATAATAGGAAAGTATAATTACTTCTGAACTCCTCAGATAAGGAGTTCTGCCCCTGGATGGTTGTCTTGATGGCCACCAAGTGATCTCTGCTCTCTGCATATTCCTCCTGACAAATATGTTCATCAAGTTTTTGACCCTTTGTATTTTCCCATGCTCATATGTACCTGCTGCCTAGTAGGGTCTCAAGAAAGGGAAAATGGCATAGCGAAAAGGAGTGTTGAGACTGTCTGGTTACTTCCTGCTGAAAAGGGTGCATTGGGAGGATAAGATGCATTTTGTTATTGTTGTTTCTTGCTATCTGTCACGAAGAGAATGAAGGGTCATGAAAATCTTGTTCACAGGAGGTGGTGGGGAAGACCAGATTCCATCAGGAGGCCCCATGTAAATGAAAATTGCTGTTCCTGGCTGGTGTTGGGATTGCATAAACATCTGTAGTTGGAATTGTTGTAATCTAGGTAATATAAACTTAATGAGCATTAAAAAGGCAGGGACCAAATATTAAAAGAATGATGAGAAATAAAGGCGCAAGGAATGGGAGAAGCCAAGTGATTTTTTGAAACCAATCAGTAAAGGTTTTGGCCTAGTTTTACTTACTTCAGAAAGTGTGTGTAGTCATTTGGCTTATTTGAAAATTTCTTGGCCGTTAGTTTTCACTTCTCCAGACACATTAATGTTGGTACAACAGGCTTTATTGATGACAGATCAGACTTCTTGTTCACCTAGGAGGTAATCTAGAGGTCATCTATTATTAAAAACCATTCCTGTTAGTAAGTCTAAAGACTTTTCCAGTGCCTATAGACTTAAGGCAGTTTTTGCTAAGGACACTTCAAGAAAGGTGGTAAGTTCTTGTAGTGTGATTTTATGGTACTTAAAACCTCCCCAGTGGGTGAGACTTGAGATAGTTCCCTTGACCCTAGCCACAATAAATTCTAGGGCCCTTATTCTTCTAGAATAGTATTCTAGATCAGAAGTTATGTTCAAGACAGTGACTTGGGCGGAAGCTACTGTACCCAGAGTAAAATCACCATAATGAAGGGAATTATCAAGTTGGGATAGGACCAAACATTGAAGAGGGTTTCAATAATTATTAGCAGTTATTCAAAGCCATGAGACCCAAGGAGGGTGGGAAACATAATGTGATTGATTTAATTAAAATGTTGGGGAAAAGGGAAACAGGTTTTGACAGTTTTTGAGAGGTCTTACGTGAGAGAAAAATTTATGTTTATGTTCCGATGGGGGAGGTTTAAAACCAGGGAGGTCTTTGTGCAATAGAAAGGATATAGAATAAGTGGTGAAATGGTTATTTCCCACATTGTTTATATAATTATGGTAACATACATGAATGATATTAGGAGTTCAAGGGATGGTAAATATTGGAAGCCCTACTATGTTGGTCCAGTTTAAAGACTTAAATTGACAGTGATAAGATAAATTCAGAGTTTTGGTTATCAGAGGCTAAGGCCTTAAATGGATTAACATTACCCACATGAGTATCATTATAACAGGGTATACATCCAAGAGTAACATTACAAATATAAAAAGTTCCATTGATTTTAGAAGTATGAACAAACAGTAGGGGAAGTCATATGATAGTACAAATATTGAAGTATTTCCCATTTTACCAGTATGGAAAGAAATGTTCAGGATGGGAAGCTGTGATAAGAATTGTTCAACCACAATTAAATTTACCCAAAGCTTATTCATAGAGTGGAAAAAGATAGGGACCTGGATGGCCTTAAGGCCCCATTAGTCATCTAGAAGATGATATTTAGAGGCTTGATTATAATCTAGGAATAGAGTTAGAAGTTCTTGCCCTTGCCCTTGTCTTTGTTCTGTAGGACCCCATTGTCAGGTAGGTTTTTAGATTTTGACTGTCACAACCTAAAATGAAGAGGTCCCCCCCCCACATGGGAGGGAGGGACACTTGCCTTTTCAATGACCATCTTGTTTGCAATGAGTAAAGGGTCCAGGGGTGGTGGCTTGTAACCTGGAGGTTTGAAACATTCTCTACTCCAGTGTCCTTGATTTCTGCAGTTATGTCTGGCCCCCATTCAGTTAGTGTTAGGGGGACAAGCCTTGGGGATATTAGCTACCAAAAAAGAATGTGCCAATGTTATCATCATGTAATTAGCTTTCTACTTGCATTTTTTTCTTCTCCTATTGAGCCTTTTTTATTTTTGATGTTTCCTGCCAGTCAGTGTGGCAATTCCTCTGGGATCTAGAACTAGAAATGCCATTTGACCCAGCAATCCCATTACTGGGTATATACCCAAAGGATTATAAATCATGCTGCTATAAAGACACATGCACATGTATGTTTATTGTGGCACTATTCACAATAACAAAGACTTGGAACCAACTCAAATGTCCAACAATGATAGACTGGATTAAGAAAATGTGGCACATATACACCATGGAATACTATGCAGCCATAAAAAAGGATGAGTTCATGTCCTTTGTAGGGACATGGATGAAGCTGGAAACCATCATTCTCAGCAAAGTATCACAAGGACAAAAAATCAAACACCGCATGTTCTCACTCATAGGTGGGAATTGAACAATGAGAACACTTGGACACAGGAAGGGGAACATCACACACTGGGGCCTGTTTTGGGGTGGGGGGAGGGGGGAGGGATAGCTTTAGGAGATATACCTAATGTTAAATAACGAGTTAATGGGTGCAGCACACCAACATGGCACATGTATGCATATGTAACTAACCTGCAGGTTGTGCACATGTACCCTAAAACTTAAAGTATAATAAAAAAAAGAAAAAAAAAAGAAAACCTTAAAAGCTGCATTTAATGAAATAGGAGAGGGAGTTTGTGGGCCTTGCTCTAATTTTTGAAGTTTTGGTATGTTGTCTAGGGAAGCCTGACTTATAAAACGCAGGGCCAGAATGAATTGGCCATCAGGGATTTGGGGATCTAAATTTAGGTATTTATTCAGGCCCTCCACCAGTCTAGCTTGGAAAATGGTGACGTTCTTAAATGGCTCCCATATGATTTCTCATAATTTAGCAGAATTAACAGGTTTTATCGCAGCCTTTTTCATTCCTTCTAACAAATGAGTTATCATATAATCTTGTCTGCCCCTGCCTCTGTTTGGGTGAGCATCAGTGGCCTGGTATTGCCAATTGTGTTCTGTGCTGGGGACTTCTTCTTCCCTGGCTCTATTATCATTGGAATTATGAGCATGACCTTCATTTGCCCAAGCTCGAGCTAAAGACCATATGCATGATTTTTCTTCATAGGAACAGCAAATAGTTAATACCATAAATATGTCTTGCCAGGTTAAATCAAAGGCTATAGTTAGTTAAAACCTGAAATTCTTGTATGAATTTAGAGGCATCCTGGCTAAATGAACACAACATGGATTGAATTTGCAAAAGATCAGACATGGAAAAAGCAACATGAACTCTGAGTTGTTCCAAATCTCCTTTAGCCACCTTGTGGGGAGACAAAACATTTTTGAGATTTTATGAGGACTCTGTACTAGTGGCATAAGTAATTCATGTGTAAGTATATGAGACGGATAAGGTATCTGAATATGGAGGGGGCTGACTGGGGGATGGAGCAGATGGAGAGGGTGTAGGTAAAGAGGGAGCAAGTTGAGGAGCATGTGATAGGCAAAAGGAAGGATTATCTAAGACATCGGAATCAGGGAGGGAGGAAGAAGTTCTTTGGAAACGTGACAATTTTTAGGTAACTTGGGGTTTGGTATGAAGCCAAGAAGACCTGCTTTTTGAGAGTTTGTGCATCAAAATGAGACCAATTTTTTTAAAATGCAACCCAGGGGCAATTTGGATGAATCAAAGAATAAACTGAACTCACGTTGGTTTTAGATGAGGGACTAAAAGGTCCCTGAGGAATTTCTGAGAAATTCGGACTTCAGTTTTCCTTTTGGCTCACTCTATTTGGAGGTATCCCACCATGAATAGATGGCCTGTCATTGCCTGGATGACCAGTCCATCTGTGCCTTTATGTGCATCATCAACTCAAACCTAATGTGAAGAGAAACTTACCCTTACCTTCAGATGTGGTGTCTTTGACAAAGATGAATCCAAAATCGGGGCTGCTACCAACTGAGTGTGTCTACGCAGAATTGAGATCACCGCTGTTCATTTCCAAGAAAAGGTTTACAGAGTGTTATAGTGAAAGTGGACTTGCCACCCTAGTGGGCAATAGCAAATTAGCTCTTTTGTCTTCAACTTCGGGTAACACTCGGGAGTGGCCTTTGGCTAGAAACTATCAATTGCCAAAGAATATGTAAGCTGGTTCACTGGAAGTCCAAAAACCGAAAAGAGTCCTGGCCAGTTCCTCAGCCCTAAGGGCAATGACAGACAGGTATCCCTTCTCTAAGGCTTCAGGATCCCGCCGAAGGGCTGCCTCCGCCAAGGACCTTCAGTTCCCAAGAGTTAAGAACCAGACCACTGAGTGAAGTAGGGAGAAAAAGGAAGAGGAAATTTCCATTAAAGTCCCTGTACGGACCACCAAGATGTCAGGTGAGGTTTCAGAGTCTCAGCAGCAAAGAGTGTTTGGCTCAAAGATGGTAAAAAGAATTTATCAACAACAATGTAGGTTTGAAACAGAAAGTTTTATTAGATAGAAAGAACATTGCAGCAGAGTGCAACAGGGCACTTCAGCAAGAGAGAACTAAGTTTACTATGGTGGATTTTCCTTACGGGTATTTATAGAACTTAAAGCAGGAGCTTAAGGGTAATTTAGACCATATTTGTTATGCAGGTTATGGTAAATGATTACATTTGTACACATTTGTGTACCTTGATGTTATCAAGGGTTGTACAATGAATTTCAAAATGCATGCATTCCGGAGATGTATAGAAATTCTAGTAACTTGTAATTTTTGAGGAAAGAAGGCTGACACCAGATGCTAGTGTTAGATAATAGGGAAGAATAATTAGTTCTGAATTTCTCAGATAAGAAGTTCTGCCTCCAGATGGTCTGCTTGATGGCCGCTAGGTTATCTTTGCTCTCCTCAGACAGTTTTAACGGCAGACTAGGTTGAAGCAGTCAAAAATCAGAAAATACAAAGATGAGTTACTGGGAGTTATTTATTCTAAGAAGCAGAAAGAAAAAAATTTAATAAAGATTGAGGAAAAGACTAAGCAACTTATAGAATACAATAAAGTGGATCATCATTACCAAATTTCCAGAGGGGCAAAAGCGATAACCTTATTTTTAAAAAATGGAAGAAAACTTTCCAAATGTGGGGAAGAAAATATATCCTGATTCATGAATTCCCAGGGGCATTACAAATAATGAATTCAAAGAGACCCACATCAGAACCCATTATAATCAAATTGTCAAAATTTAAAGATAAGGAGAGTTTTGAAGGAAGCAACAGAATAGTGGCTTGTTATATACCAGGATCGTCCCTTAAGACTATTAGAGGATTTTTCAGCAGAATCTTTGCAAGCCAAAAGGGAGTTAGATAATTAATAGTGTTGAAAGAACAAAAGACAATTTTGAAGCAACAATACTATAGCCTACAAATTTTTCCTTCAAAAATGAAGAAGACATAGTCTTTCTCAAACAAAAATGAGAGGGTTTTTTCCCACTAGACCTGTCTTACAAGAAATGCTAAAGGAGTGATTCAAGTCTAAATAGAAAGGCACTAAGAATCATCATGAAAGCCTAAGAAAGTATAAAACTAATAGACAAAGGTAAGTGTGTGGACAAAAAGGAATATTTTACTACTATAGCAGCAGTGAGTATATTGATTGTAATTCTACCTTAAAAGTTAAAATACAAAAATATTTAAAACAACTATAACTAAATTGCATAAATTAATTGAATAATAAAATAATTAAAAATTTAGAAAATAATAGTGTATAATGTGGGGGGATAAGAGGTAAAACCAGAAAGTTTTTGCATATAAGGAAAATGAATTTGTTAGCTTAAAATGGACTGTTATAAAAAAGATGTTTGATTTAAGTCCCTTGGTAACCACACAAAAACTAAATAACCGTAGAAACTACATAAAGGGAAACTATTTTTAAATGACATGAATGTATCAAAATCTAGCAATACAAATGCTATTATCATCAACAAAATAAAAGGAAAATAACAAGAGAGTAAAGAAAGGGCCAAATCACAACAAGAAAAAACAGGATTCACCTGTTGGCTGTCTATAGGACACTCACTTTAGATTAAAGATATTATAGGCTGAAAGGCAAGGTTGAAAGTGAAGAAGTGAATAGAAAAAAGTAGCACTGTTCTTGCTACAAAAAGACCTTACACTCAGTAGTTTATAAATAATAACAATTTTTTTCTCACCAACTGGAGACTGGGAAGTCCCAGATTAAGGTTCTGGCTTTGATATTTGGTGAAGGCATGCTCTCTGCTTCAAATATGGTGATTTGTTGCTTTATCCTCACTTGGAGAAGGCTCAAAGGGCAAAAATGGAACCAGGTTGCTCTGTTCAACCTCTTTTATAAGAACAGTAATCCCATTTATGAGAGTGGAGTACTCATAAATTAATCACTCCCCCAAAAGCCCCACTTCTAAATACTGTTATTTCAAGTATTCGGTTCCAACACATACGTACATTAAAATAAGAGCATTCCACCACTGGTCCCCCCAAAATCTAAGTCATTCTTATATGTGAAATACATTCATCCCATTCCAATAACCCCAAAAGTCTTAACTTGTTTCAGCATTAACTCAAAAGTTTAAAATCAGTTCTTGATTACATGTGCAAGATGTACAGGTTTCTTACATAGGTAAATGTGTGCCATGGTAGTTTGTTGCTCAGATCAATCCATCACCTAGGTATTAAGCCCAGCATCCATTAGTTATTCTTCCTGATGCTCTCCATTTCCCTGGTACCCTGACAGTCCCCAATTTGTGTTGCTCCCCACCATGTGTTTATGCATTCTCATTGTTCAGCTCCCACTTATAAGTAAGAATATTCAGTATTTAATTTTCTGTTCCTGAGCTAGTTTGCTGAGAATAACAGCTTCCAGCTCCACCCATGTCCCTGCAAAGAACATAATCTCATTCCTTTTTGTGGCTGCATAGTATTCTATGGTGTATATGTACCACATTTGCTTTACCCAGTCTATAATTGATGAGCACTTGGGTTAATCCCTTGTCTTCACTATTGTGAATAGTGCTGCAATAAACATACACATGCATGTATCTTTATAACAGAATAATTTATATTCCTTTGGGTATATATCCAGTAATGTGATTGTTGAGTCAAATTGTATTTCTGTTTCTAGATCTTTGAGGAATTGCCACACTTGTCTTCCACAGTGGTTGAACTAATTTACATTCTCACCAACAGTGTAAAATCATTCCTGTTTCTCCAGAACCTCACCAGCATCTGTTGTTTCTTGGCTATTTAATAATTGCCATTCTGACAGGTACCAGATGGTATCTCATTGTGGTTTTGATTTGCATTTCTGTAATGATCAATGATGGTAAGCTTGTTTTCATATATTTGTTGGCTGCATGAATGTCGCCTTTTGAGGAGCATCTGTTCATGTACTTTGCCCTTTTTTTATGGGGTTGTTTGTTTTTTTCTTGTAAATCTGTTTAAGTTATTTGTAGAATCTGGATATTAGACCTTTGTCAGTGGAAAGATTGCAAAAATGTTCTCTGATTCTGTAGGTTGTTTGTTCATTCTGATAATAGTTTCTTTTGATGTGCAGAAGCTCTTTAGTTTAATTAGATCCCATTTGACAATTTTTGCTTTCATTGCAATTGCTTTTGGCTTTTCGTCATAAAATATTTGCCCATGCCTATGTCCTGAATAGTGTTGCACTAAATTTTCGTCTAGGATTTTATTGTTTTGGGTTTTACATTTAAGTCTTTAATCCATCTTGGGTTAATCTTTGTATATGGTGTAAGAAATAGTTCCATTTTCAATTTTCTGCATAGGGCTAGCCTGTTCTTCCAGCCCCATTTATTAAATAAGAAGCCATTTCCCCATTGCTTGTTTTTGTCAGGTTTGTCAAAGATCAGATAGTTGTAGGTGTATGGTCTTATTTCTGAGTACTCTATTCTTTTCCATTGGTCTATGTGTCTGTTCTTGTACCAGTACCATGGTGTTTTGGTTACTGTAGCCTTATAGTATAATTTGAAATTGGGTAGTGTGAGGCCTCCAGCTTTGTTCTTTTTGCTTATGATTGTCTTGGTTACATGGGCTCTTTTTTTGGTTTCATATGAATTTTAACGTAGTTTTTTTTTTAATTCTGTGAAGAATGTCAATGGCATTTTAATGGGAATAGCATGGAATCTAAAATGTACTTTGGGCAGTATGGCCATTTTCAAGATATTGATTCTTCCGATCCATGAGGCTAAAATCAGATTTTTGTGGCTCTACAGTATGGAGTCTTGGGGTTGGCATCATATCCATAGCTACACTTAGCATTATCCTATTTGGGCTCCCTGAAGCAGATCCACATCTGCATCTCCACTAGGCATTGGCCTACTTAGGGCTGTCTGCACAGTGGCCTCAACCCCGCAGCAGTTCTCTGCGTGGGTCCCTAGGCTATTGGAAAATTCCTTTGAATTTTCTAATATAACATAATAACACCTATAAAGTTAGCACCACATGGAAGCTGCCAAGATTTATAGCCTGTACTAACCTGTACTTTTTGGAGGGGTAGGGCTCACTCTATGCTTGCAAGATGGCATCTTGTTGCTGTGTCTTCATTTAATGGAAGGCAGAAGGGCAAAAGAAGACTATAGCACTTCTTCAGCCTCTTTTGTAAGAGCATTAATCTCATTCATAAGAGTGGAGTCCTTATAACTTAATCACTTCCCAAAAAGCCTAAACTGTTAATATTATCATATTGGGTATTATGTTCCAACATATACATTTTAAAGGAACACATACATTCAGACTACAGCAAAAGGAAAATATATTCCATAAATGGTAAACAAAGAAAATGAGGAGGGGTTATTTTTTAATAGACAAATTACACATTAAGTCAAATCCTGTCTCTAGAAGCAAAAGGTTATCATATAATAATAAAAGGAAGGAGATATAGCAATTGTAAATACATACACCCCAAATCAGGACACCTAAATATATAGAAAAAATATTGACATCTGAATGAAAAAAAGTGATAGCAATAAAATAGTAGTAATTGATTTTAGTACCCCACTTTCAATAATACATAGAATCTTCAGACAGAGAATCAATTTTAAAAATCCAGCAAACTTGGAAAATACTATAAACCTAACAACAGAAAAATCCACATTCTGCACAAGAGCACACAGGACATTTTCAATGATAGATCACATTAGGTCACAAAACACGTCTTAACATATTTAAGTAGATTGAAGTTGTCTTAATAATTTTAGAGCAAATAGAATAAAACGAGAAACAATAAAAAGAAAAGGAGAATATTCACAAATAGGTGGAAATTGAATTACACTATTTTGAATGATTGCCAGGTCAATGAGGAAATAAAAAAACAGAAATTTTATAAATATCTTCAGAAGAACATAAAAAGCAAACACAATGTAAAACATGAGAAATGCAAAAAATAATAATATGAATGTTTAT
Source organism: Homo sapiens (assembly GCF_000001405.40). Lineage (NCBI taxonomy): Eukaryota > Metazoa > Chordata > Mammalia > Primates > Hominidae > Homo > Homo sapiens. Next base: position 82,272,302 of record NC_000023.11, read on the forward strand.
AATAATAAATACCTACATTCAAGAAAAAGATCTGAAATAAACAACTTAATTTTATACTTCAATAAAATTTAAAATAAACTAAGCTCAAAATTAACAGAAGCCAAAAAATAATGAATATAAGATCAGAAAAAATTCAAATACGCAATCAAAATCTATAGAAAAAATAAAACTAAAATATAAAGAAACTCAACATGTTCTTAGAAAAACTAAGAAGATAGTTTAAATAAAATAAAAATGAAAGAAGAGATGTTAGTTACAACTATCAAATAAAAATAAAGAATCATGAGGGACTATTATGAACAGCTATATGCCAAAAAACTGAATAACCTAGAGTAAGTAGATAAATTTCTAGAAACATATTCCCTATCAAGACTACATCAAGAAGAAAAAGAAATCCAAAACAGGCCAATAACAAATAAGGAGACTGAAGTGGTAATTAAAATCCTCCTAACAAAGAAAGCACAGTACCATAGGGCTTCACAGCTTAAATTCTACCAAAGAATTCAAATACTTAATTCCAGTGCATATTAATATTTCACCAAAAAAAGTAGAGGAAATACTTCTTAATTCATTTAATGAGGCCACCATTGCCTGAATACCAAAGCCAAAGACCACTCAAGTGAAGAAAACTACAGGTAAATAGCTCTATTAAACATAGATGCCAAAATCTTCAATAAAAATATTAGCAAATTGTATTCAACAACATTTCTAAAAGAGTATACACTCTAACAAATTAGGGTATATCCTGGGGTTGCAAGGTTGTTTTAACATATTAAAATAAATGTGATATGCTACATTAACAGAATAGAAGATAACCACATGATCACATAAATAGAAGTAGAGAAAGCATATGACAAAGTTCAACATACTTTTATGATAAGAACTCTCAATAAAATAGGTATAGGATACATATTTCTTAATATAATAAAAGCCAATTATAAAATACCTAAAGTTAATATCATGATCAATCATGTAAAACTGAAAGATTTAAATGTAAGATCTGGTAAAAGTCAAGGATGCCCACTCTCACCACTTCTGTTCAACATATTAATTTAATAGAAGTTTTAGCAAGAGCAATGAGACATGCTAAAAAAGAATAAAAGGCATCCAAATTATAAAAAATAATATTATCTCTTTGCAGATGACATGATTCTATATGTAGAAAGCCCTAAACGATTTTCCTAAGATTGTTAGAACTAGTAAATAAACTTAGTAAATTAGTACAATACAAAATCAACCTCCAAAAATCAATTGCATTTCTTTATACCAATAACTATTTATCTAAAATATATATCAAGAGAACAATCCTGCTATGTTTTTAATATATTTTCTCCAAAATTCAGGAGTTACCAATATGATAACAATAAGAAGTGGGACATCAAAGACATGATTAGGTCATGAAGTCTCCTCCGTCATGACAGGGATTAGGTGAATTTATAAAGGGTCTTGATGGAGGAAGTTGGAACTCTCTTGTCCTCTGCCTTCTGACATGTGAAGACACAGCAAGAAGGCCCTCACCAGATGTCATTACTTAATCTTGAACTTCACAACTTTCAGAAGTTTAAAAAAATAAATTTATTTTATTTTTATACACTATCCAGTCTTAGGCATTTTGTTGTGGCAGCATGAACAATGGCAGTAACTGATATCAGAAATAGGAAGTACCTATAACAAACACCTAAATATGTGAAAGCATTACTAGAACTAAGTAATAGGTAGAGAATGAAAGAGTTTTGAAGTGTATGCTGAGAAAAGTTTACATTACTATAAATGGTGCATTAGGAGCAATTATGGTGAGGACTCAGAAGAAGAGAAGAGAAAGGAAAGCCTCATTCTCCTTAGAAATGACTTAAGTGATAGTCTTCTTTGGGATCTTTCTTAGGGTTTTCTATATATAGGATCATGTCATCTGCAAAGAGATAATGTTATTTCTTTTTTTTTCACTTTGGATATCAAAAAAATCTTGGCCAAATTATGTATGCCCTAATACGTTGTCAAAGGAAAAATTCAAGAGCAATAATCTACGATATTTGGCAGAAAATAATTTCTAGGTATCAAGCATTTTGGATGATGCATGGCTTCCCTTAACTGTTCATAAAGAATGTGAAAAGATGGCAATTATTTAAGGCAAACATAAAGATTTGAAAAATTCTTGGCCTGGTCATGTAAAGAATAAAAAATCCTGTTGAAATGAGAAAACCAAGGGTTTCTCCAAGGGACCATCTGATAAGGAGATTAGTATGGCTAGAAGGAAGTCAGGGGTTATTCATCAAAATAATTAGAAAATGGCTCCTCAAACAATTTGAAGGTCTTTGAGGCAGCCACATCCATCACAGGACAAGAGTGCTAGAGCTTTGGAGGCAGAAAGATTTTAAGGGAAGGTACCAAGGTGCCCAGTGGCACTTTAAGGTTTGCTGCCTATGGCTGCCTCAGTTTTCTGCTCCCCACACTGCAGTGCAGTACTCCTCAGCTACTGTATTAGTTTGTTCTCATGCTGCTATTAAAGACTTATGCAGAATGGATAATTTATAAAGGAAAGAGGTTAAGTGGACTCACAAGTTCGCATGTCTGGGGAGACCTCACAGTCATGGCAGAAGGCAAGAAAGAAGCAAAGTCACATCTTGCATGGCAGCAGGCAAGAGAGCTTGTGCAGAGGATCTTCCCTTTATAAAGACATCAGATCTTATGAGACTTATTTACTACAATGAGAACAGTATGGGGGAAACCAACCCCATGATCCAATTATTTCCCACCAGGTTGCTCCCATGACACATGGAAATTATGGGAACTACAATTCAAGATGAGATTTAGGTGGGAACACAGCAAAACCATATTATTCCACCCCTGGTCTCTCCTAAATCTCATGTCCTCACATTTCAAAATCAACCATGCCTTTCCAACAATTCCCCAAAGTTTTAACTCATTTCTGCATTAACTCAAAAGTTCACAGTGCAACATCTCATCTGAGAAAAGGCAATTTCTTTCCATGTATGAGCTGATAAAAATCAAAAGCAAGTTAGTTACATTCTACATACAATGGGAGTAAAGGCATTGGGTAAATACACCCATTCCAAATGAGACAAACTGGCCAAAACAAAGGGGCTACAGGCCCCATACAAGTCCAAAATTGAGCAGGGCAGTCAAATCTTAAAGCTCTAAAATAATATCTTTTGACTCTATGTCTCACATCCATGTCACATTGATGCCAGATGTGGGCTCCCATGGCATTGGGAAGCTCCGCTGTTGCGGCTTTGCAGGGTACAGCTCCCCTTCTGTCTGCTTTCATGGACTGGCATTGAGTGTCTGTGGCTTTTCCAGGTGCACGGAGCAAGTTATTGGTGGATCTACTATTCTGGAGTCTGGAGAACGATGGCCCTCTTCTCACAGCTCCAATAGGCAGTGACTCAGTGGGACCCTGTGTGGGGGTCTAGCACCACATTTCCTTTCTGTACTGCCTGAGCAGAAGTTCTCCATGGGGGCTCCACTCCTGCAGCAAACTTCTGACTGGACATCTATGAATTTCTATACATCCTCTGAAATCAAGGTAGGGGTTTCCAAACCATTCTTGACTTCTGTGCACCCGCAGGCCAAACACCACATGTAAGCCATTAAGACTTGGGACTTGTGCCCTCTGAAGCCATGGACTGAGCTGTACCTTGGACCTTTTTCACCAAAGTTGGAGCAACTGGGACACAAAACACCAAGTCCTTAGGCTGCACACAGCAAGAGGGCCCTGGGCCTGACCCAGGATACCGTTTATTTCTCCTAAACTTCCAGGTGTGTGATGGGAGGGGCTGCTGTGAAGGTCTCTGACATTCCCTGAAGACATGCTTCCCATTGTTTTGGTGGTTAATATTAAGCTCCTTGTTACTTACACAAATTTCTGCAGCTGGCTTGAATTTCTCCCCTGAAATGACTTTCTTTCTTTTTTATCACATTGTCAAGTTGCAAATATTTCAAACTTTTATGCTCTCTTTCCTCTTGAATGCTTTGCCACTTACAACTTTCTTCCACTAGATATCCTAAATCATCTCTCTTGTGGAGTTCAAACCTCCACAAATCTCTAGGGTAGAGTCAAAATGCCATCAGTTTCTTTGATAAAACATAGAAAGAGTCACCTTTATTCTAGCTCCCAACAAGTTCCTCATCTCACTCTGAGACGACCTCAACATGGACTTCATTGTCCATATTCCTATCAGCATTTTTGTCAAAGCCATTCAACAAGTCTCTAGGAAGTTCCAGACTTTCCCACATCTTTCTGTCTTCTCCTGAGCCCTTCAAACTGTTCTGACCTCTGCCTGTTACTCAGTTGCAAAGTTGCTTTCACATTTTCAGGTATCTTTACAGCAACACCCCACTCTACCAGTACCAATTTACCTTATTAGTCTATTCTCATACTACTAATAAAGACATATCTGAGACTGGGTAATTCATAAAGGAAAAAGGTTAAATGGGCTCACAGTTCCACATGGCAGAGGAGACCTCAAAATCATGGCAGAAGGCAAAAGAGAAGCAAAGGCATGTCTTACTTGCTGGCAGGCAAGAGAGCTTGTGCAGGGGAACTCTTGTGAACTCAGATCTTGTGAGACTTATTTACTACTTTGAGAACATTATGGAGAAAACCAACCTCATGATTCAAATATCTGCCACCAGGTCCCTCTTTCGATATGTGGGAATTATGGAAACTACAATTGAATATAAGATTTGGGTAGGGACATAGCCAAACTATATCAACTGCTCCAACTTCAGCTATGGTGGACCCAGGTGCAGATAAGACTGACACTCTGAAGCATACAAGCAGTGAGCATTAACAGCATTCATATGGTATTAATTCTTTAGGTGTGCAGAGTACACAAGTTGTGGAGGCATGTCTGCCTCTACCTATATTTCAAAGGATACCCTTAAGAGCCTTGGGGCTTAGGCAGAGACCTCTCAGATGGGCAGAGCTTCTGTAGATGGCCCTCACAACCCAGAACTATAGAGCAACCAGCATACTGCAGAAGCCTGGGAAAGTGCATACATGCAATTGTAATGCATAAGAGCTAAAGTGTAGGCTGCACACAGCAAAGCCAAGGGAGTGGGGATCCCCAGGTCCTTGGAGGCCCAACCTCTGTCCTGTGCATCCAAATGGTAATATATGCAGTCAAAAAATATTATATTCAAGCTTTCAGATTTAATGTGGTCTGTTATGTTGCTTTTTTGTTTTGTTTTGTTTTTTACTTACTAAATATATATTACTCCTTTCTTCTTTTCTATTTCTCTCTTTTGGGATACAATTATATATTCTATTTCTGTTCCACTACTGAATATTTGAATTCCATAACTCGTTTGATTTCAAAGGCTCACAGGTGGAAAAAAAAAAAAAAACCTTTGCCTGAGTATAAACTGTGCCCTGAGTCTCAACCATAGCTGATTTAGATAAAACTTTGGCCTTAGACTTTGGAGTTGATGGTAAACTGAGTGAAGAATCTTTGAAGCTATTGTAATTAAATAAATTTATCTTGTCTTTGAGTAGAACAAATTTTTGGAGGCCAGTAGAAGAATGTGGTTTTTGCTGTTCAACTCCTATTTTTGGAGTTTTACTTGCTTCCGACACAAGGAAGACACATTTTTCCTGCTTCCATAATGATAGAAGACAGGTAACTCCTTTATGAAGTTTAAGCTCACTTCCAAAAGGGAAGATGAGTTATTTTTCCTGCTTCTAGGGTAGTAGAGAGCTGTCTACAGCCTGAGAATTATCACTAGGTAAGAAACTGCTTTGTGATTCTGTCTTGCAAAATCTTTTTAGACAACTAAATTTATCATGTAATAACCAGCTGGTGATAATTTCTGCTTACACTAAGAACACGCTGAAATAATAATAATGATAATAATAACAATAATTTGTATGATAATTATTAATTTTGCTTAACTGTTTTGTTGTTTGTTTCTGTCTTGTTGGGTTGCTTTCTGTGTGTATATATTTTGATTTTTTCCCTTATCAGATTTGACCAACTCCAAATCCTCTAGCTCATGAGTGTGGAATCTTCCACTCTGAAGAAATAAGAGCACTTTGCTCCCCTCAGCCTTTTGGGGTATTTTCAGGTTACTGAGAATCACGTGAGGTGTCTGGAAGGAATGATCTCTAAGACATTCAGTGGCTTTTAATAAATTGCCACCTCAGAAGAACATACTTAGGGTCTAATCTTAGCAGACAGGTGCATATAAATAGCTGACGCTCTCCCCACACCTTGAGCTTCTGACACACTCTGCCACACTAAGTTTTTTTTAGATGGAGTCTCGTTCCGCCGCCCAGACTGGAGTGCAGTGGCATGATCTCTCAGCTCACTGCCAGCCTCAGCCTCCCAAGTAGCTGAAAATATAGGTGCCCACCACCATGCCCAGCTAATTTTTTTGTATTTTTAGTAAAGACAGGGTTTCATTGTGTTATCCAGGATGGTCTCCATCTCCTGACCTCATGATCTGCCCACCTCGGACTCCCCAAGGGCTGGGATTACAGGAGTGAGTCACAGCGCCTGAAACACACAAAGTTTTTTTTTTTAAGTGCACTATAAAAGCATCACACGGTCTAGACTTATAATAATTCTCCCTTTTTGGAGAGTCAGGATTCAAATTGTGCTCTGCCCAGAGCTCAGAGAAACAGTTAAAAGATAGGTAGTTCCTATCTAATAAAATTGGTCTCCTTATACAATCCTATCATAGATTTTTATAATTTTATGTTTAATTTTGCTCAAAGAAAAATAAAACACGTTCTTCAAGCACCACCAGCTTTTTCTCTCTGTACATTATGGTGTAAATTTTGCTATTCAATTTTCACCTGAGTTGTTTTCTTTAGTATGCAAATTTAAGGCTATTTAGCTAACACTACCTGGGGTTGTAAAACAGGTTATCAAGAATCTAAATGTCTAAGATACGAAAAAAAAGAGGGGGCAAAGTAATCTTTGTGAATATATGAACTGTACTTCCATTGGCAATGCCTAATACGTCTATGTATTTATATGCTGTGTACACAATGTTTTCCTACTGAAAATATATAAAAGCATTCCAATTAATTAGCTTAAAAATACAAGCATTTAATCAAATATTTTATCAGGAAAAAGAAAGAGTAGTCAAATCCTTTTTCAAGTTTATGTAACTTAAGTAAAATCTTTAATAAATCAGCTAACTTTAAAATTATTGGTAAAGTAATATTAAAAATATCTTAAGAATTGTGAGCATACGTTTTTGTTTGCATTTATTAATTAAGCAATTTTATATTTATCTCTGCCAAATGCTATAAGATGTCAAATTTTGGCATGGGGTTACAAAACTATAAACCCAGCCCAAAACAGAATGATCTTTGCTTGTGTAATTTTTGAATAAATAAGACATTGATATGGGTTTAATGAAAATAGCTGCATCTTGAATTCAGTAAGAATACCATAACTTGTAATCTTTTGGTTTTAGGCATTCTAGTCCACAGTCAATAAAGAGGTTTGTTTAGGGAAAGGATTGTTATCGTCTTTGTTTCATAACTGAACTATAACTTTCTTCCAAAGTTAATTCGGCCTATGCCCAGGAATTAACAAGTACAGCTTGGAGGTTAAGAGCAAGATGGAGCCAGTTAAGTCAAATCCTTCATTTACTATCCTTACTGTAATTTTGCAATGGCAGTTTTATAACTTTAAATCATGACTATCACAGTTTTCATAAATAATTTATGTAAACAATTACAATAAAATAATTAGGTAACTGTCATGGGATAAATACTTGTAGACAAGATGGACATAATTTAGAACATACAGTTATATTAAATTACATAATAGATATTTTATTGTTTGGGTATTTTCTAATAAATATATGTTGTAGGAAAACATTCTTGCTAAAAAAAGAAGTATGTCCTTTATTAAAAAAAAAGGCAAGTAAGTTTTGTCTAATTCAAAGTTTATTTATAGGTTATGTATAAAACAAGGTAAAAGAAACAAGGAAATAAAAACAGATGTAAAAATGTTATAAAATAAAGGAGGTTTTTTGTGGTAAGAAAGCTTAAAGAGAAATAATTTTGTATGATAAAGAATATTGTATAATAAATTCAATCATAAAATAAATGGTTGTTTAAGAAGGAGGGATGTTCAGGAAAAACAAGAAAGTTTAAGCATGTTATGAACAGTCAGTGTAAGTCATAATAAAAAGATTTACAAAAACAAAAACAAAAACTTTGATATGCTCAAGCTGTCATATTAAGTTTTGGTTTGCTTAGAAAAAGCTGAGATAAATTGCTTTTTTAATTAAGGTTATTATATCCACATATTTTCCTGAATGTGCTTTTAAAGTCCTTGTGACATTGAGTTACAGGGCTTTGACTCCTTGGTCTAAAAAGGATATCAATACTGCTAAATCTTAAAAACAGACAGCAATTAAAGCTTCATCTTCAGGCCCCATAGAATATGCCAATCAAAATAAACTACATTTCTGAGACAAAAGGCCAGAAATTAAAGACATTTAATTCCTCAAGGCCCAGGGTCTATCGCAGAGGAGGTGGGCATGTGAAATTCTAAGGGCCGATTTAAGAGACAAAATAAGTTTAATTTCTCTATAAATTAATCATTAATGTCAAATGCACACTAATGCAAGACCAGTATATGGAGCCCTGTGTCAGAGTAACAAGGTTTTCTTGAAGCATAAACCAACTCTTTAATTAGGGTTATAAAGATGATTGAAGGCTTATGGACATTATATTTTATAATCAAGATTAAATTTTACAGATTGTTTACAAAATTTTGAAAAAAGTTTAATTGGCTTGAGGCTGTTTTTATCAGGGCTTCTTGTTTGAAAAATTAAGTCTCTTCTCTCAAAGAATGAAGGCTTTACTTTTTTTTGAAATCCTTTAGTTATCACTTTAATTAAAGGAATGACTTTACAATGACCTGTAATCCTATTTTGTGATATCAAATGTTTTAAACCTTTGATATTTGACAGACTTTCCAAAATCAAATTACAAATTATGTATTTTTCTGACCTACTTAATATTTTTAAATATTAGGTTTCCTACAGTCCAAAAATATCATATTTTGGCTTATTTGGTATAAAGTTATACAGGAAGCATTGTCAAATACAAAATGGTGTTTGTTTTCTTTGGGCTGTTTTTGTATAAGTAAGTATGTTATTTGTATGTGTTCCAAAATTGTGGAAAACTCCTATAATTCTGATATGACTGAGTGTAAGTTATAAGTAATAATCATAATTGTTATGTTAAAATTATTGTGTGCCACAGAAGTAACAAATTTCTTTGTCAATTGTGCCTTTGTCTATGGCTGCCCTAAACCCTTTTTTCATCCACAGACAATTCTTTTCTTGTTTTGGTCCTCTTTAGCGGGTGGTTTTATAATCAGCTATAAAACTAACAGGTGCCCTTGAATGCAGGTTTTTGATAACTTTGGACATTGTGACATCAAAATAGAGGAAAAACTTTCAGGACTCATGGAGAGCTAAAATGTTCATGAGTATCAAGCAGAACAGTAATTAACTGTGTGGACTGAACTAATATTTTTGACATTTTGCTTAAAATGTTTGCTAATTCTTTGTTGTTTTTCAGTCCTACACATTTTTTTGAGCTACTGACAGCTTTTAACAATTTTGTATACTCTGTTGAACAAAATATGGAACACATTCATTTTTCTCTACCTGATTTCTCAAAAATTTGGAACCTATTTGTGAGTATTCTTAACTTATGGGAATACAGTTATTTGCTTAAGTGCAGTAAGAATCTGTTTTCATTTGTAACAGGACACAACTAGGGAAACTAGTTATTTAACCAAGGCTTTGAATGGAAGGGTGTGCTTTCTTTTAAGTATAAAACTTGACTTTTGGAGTCAATGAAGCCCTTGGAATAACTGGCCTCATAGTTTGTGTAAACAGTCCCTGTACAAATATTCTGACCAGTGGTAAGTAATGAATGTTACTTTCTGACAGGCCCAGAAGCCCTAGGTTTATCTTGAAACTCAAGAGGAGAGGAAATTCACCCAACTAATAGATACTTGATGACACAAATCTACGGCTTGGCTTGGTTTTTAAGAAGTTGTATCCAAAATTTCCTCTGTAGAACAAAGTTCCATCAAAGCCAATTTAAAAACCTATGTAAAAAAAATTCTTGCTGCACTGCATGCAAATAATTGGGGCAAGTGTAGTAAAGCAAACCAGCCCTACCATGATTTGTCTTCAGCCAAAATGGAGAGAGAAAAATTGTGTTTCAAAACTGCAGTACACTTGTTGTTAGATTCTAGTCTTGCCCAGTGTTTTTAAATTTTTATTATTTTCTACACTTTGGACTGAATTCTATTTTTTTCTTGGCTACAAGTGTTCAAAATAGTGTTTTCAAAATTTTTTTTATTTTTTTCCATTTTTTCCTAATTTGGAGTCACTGAATACTATGCTGTGCTTTCATAAAGCCCTGTGAACTGAAAGTAGACAACTTAAACGCCAGAAGAAAATAACAGCAACCTATTTACATATATAAGCCACTTTCATACCTGTTTACGAATGTATGGACTTCAGACTCATGTGTCCTATCTCAATTTTTTTAGGATTTTTCTTCTGTTTGTTCCTGTTTTTATGTTCCTTTCTCCCCACTATGTTCTCTTCATAGGACATGAGACTTCACAACCTGCTAAAAGTGAGCTTTTGGGACCTACTCATCTAGGAAAAAAACATCCTAGCCATGAGAGATCAGATGAAACCTGAGACCAGAGACTAATTTTCTTGCAAAATGCTTTCTCCAGAGAAATTTAAAATACAAAAGGGGGAAATGTAAAAGGACAATATCTTGGGACCCCAAAATCACTAAGCTAAAAGGAAAACTCAAACTGGAAACTGCTTAGGGCAAATCTGACTCCCATTCTGTTCAAATTTATCCCTCTGCTCACCGAGATAAATGGATATCTGATAGCCTTTCTTGGAAAGGCTAATCAGAAACTCAAAGGAATGTAGCCATTTGTCTCTCACGTATCTGTGACCCGCTTTGAGTCTTCCTGCCTTTGCTTTAACCAAGTTGTGACACCACCACCTTGGGCACATGTCAGCAGGACTTTCTCAGGCTGTATCATGGGTGTGTGTCCTCAACCTTGGCGAAATAAACTTTCTAAATTAACTGAGACCTATGTCAGATTTTCTGAGTTTACAACCTATACACTGAAAACTTAAAAAAAAAATAGTAAAAAATTGTAGACACAAATAAATGGAAATAATCCTTGTGTTTGTAGATTGGAATAATTGATGTCAGAATGTCTATATGTCCATACTACACAGAGTGATATACAGATTCAACACCATGTCTATGAAATTTACAATGACATTTTAACAGAAAAACAGAAATTCTAAAATGAATGTAAAACCACAGAATTCCTAACATATCTTAAGGAACTTAAGAATTAAAAATAAAGTTCTAGGCATCACACTTCCTGATTTTAAATTATATTATAAAGCTATATTATCAACAATTTAAACAAAAACTATGCTAGTTGCATAAAAATAGGCATATAGACCAATGAAACAGGATTGAGAGGCCAGAAATAAACTCAAAAATAAATGCTCAGCTACTTTTCACAAGCCATGAGGAAGACCCAATAAAGAAATGTTAGTCTCTTAAATAAATGATGCTGACAAAACCGGATATCCACATGCAAAAGAATGACACTGGCTTGTATATTACACTATACATAAAAATTAACTTAAAGTGGATTAAAGATGTAAACATAAAACCTTAAAGGATAACACTCGTAAAAGAAAACACAGCGGGAAATCTTCTTGGTGTCAGCGTTGGCAATGATTTTTCACATACCACACCAAAAGTTCAGGGAACAAAAGTAAAAATAAACAAGTGAAATTGCATCAACTTGAAAAGCTTCAGAAACACTATAACAAAAAATATGAAAAAAACAAAAGGCAGCCTATGCATTGGGAGAAAATATTTGCAGTCATAGATATACTAATGTGTTAATATCCAAAATCATTAACAAAATTATACGAATCAATGGGAAAATATAACAAATACACAAATTTTAAAACCAGACATAGGGTTTGAATAGGTATTTTTTTTCCAATGAAGACACAAAAAATGGCCAAAAGATACATGGAAAGATGATGAACATCACTTACCATCAGGAAAAAATGCAAATCAAAACCACAATGAGCTATCACTCCACACCTGTTAGCATAGCTATTATCAAAAAGACAAGAGATAAAAAATGGTGTCAAGGGAGTGAAGAAAAAAGAACCCTTGTACACTTTTCAAGAGAATGTAAATTGTCACAGCCATTATGAAAACAATGTAGAGGTTCCTTAACAATTTAAGGGTAGAACTACCATGTAACCTAGCAGTTCCTCTTTTTCATGTATAGCCACAGGAAATAAAATCAGCCGCTCTAAAGAGATCTGCATTCCTATGTTGATTGCAGCATTATTCACAATAGCCTACTTAGAGAGACAATCTAAATATTCATTAATCAATAAATGGATACAAACTTTGTGAGGTATATCCCTACACACACACACACACACACACACAAACACACAAACACACACACACACAGAGAGAGAGAGAGAGAGAGAGAGAGAGAAATATTATTTAGCTTCCAAAAAGTAAAATTTGGCATGTGCAAAAACATGGATGAATGTGGGGTGTATTATATTAAGTGATATAAGTCAGACACAGAAAGAAAAAATTACTGCATAATGCCACTTATATGTGGAATCCAAAAGAAATCAGAATACATAGATACATAGGAAAAGAGAACAGAGAATAGAATGGTGGTTAGCAGGGGCAGGGAAAGTGAAGAAATAGTAAGATGTAGATCAATGGGTATAAACTTGCAGTTATGTAGGATAAATAGTCCAAAGATCTAATGTATAACAGGAGAAGTAAAGTTACTAATATTGTTTTGTACATCAAAAATTTGTTAAGAAAATACATTTTACGTGTTCTTACTACCAAAAGAAAGGTCCTGTGACAGAATTGTGGATATAGTAATTTGCTTGACTGTAGTAATAATTTCTCTATATGTATGTAAAAACATTGTTTTTTATTTTAAATATAAATAATAAGGAAGGGGGAAAGAAGGAATGAAGGAAAGAAGAAAAGAAAGAAGGAGGGAGAAAGCGAGAGAGGGAAGAACGGAGGGAAGGAAGAAAAGAAGGAAGGATAATACTTCCTTAAGTGTTTGGTAGAATGCACCTGTGATGCTATCTGGCCCCAAGATTTTCTTTGTTGGGAGGCTTTTGATTATTGGGTAAAGTTCTTTTATTTTTATTAGCCCGTTCAGGCTTTTTTTTTTTTTTTTTTTTTTTTTTTGAGACAGTCTCACTCTGTCGCCCAGGCTGGAGTGCAGTGGCACAATCTTGGCTCACTGCAACCTTTGCCTCCCAGGCTGAAGTGATTCTCCTGCCTCAGCCTCCCGAGTAGCTGTGATTACAGGTATGTGCCACTGTTCCTAGCTAATTTTTGTATTTTTAGTAGAGACGGGGTTTCTCCATGTTGGCCAGGCTGTTCTCAAATTCCTGACCTCAGGTGATCCACCTGCCTCAGCCTCGCAAATTGCTGGTATTACAGGCGTGAGTCTCCGCACCTGGCCTATTCAGGCTTTCTATTTTTTCTTGATTCAGTCTTAGTAGGTTGTACATTTCCAGGAATTTATTGTTTTTTTTTTCTAGGTTGCTCACTTTGTTGGCATATAAATGTTCATAATACTCCCTCGTCACTATTTTATTTCTGTATAATCTTTTGCAAAGCATTCTCTTTCATTTCTGATTTTACTTGAGTCTTTTCTCTTTTTTTCCTAATTAATTTATCCAAGGTTTTGTCAATTTTGTTGATCTGTTCACAAAACCAACTTTTGGTTTTATTAATTTTTTAAAAATTTTCTCCTATTACATTTATTTCTGCTTAAATATTTATTGTTTTCTTCCATCTATTAACTATGAGCTTAGTTTCTTTTTTCTCAGTTTTTGAGGTGTAAGATAAGGTTACTTATTTGAGATATTTATTCTTTTTAATGTATGGATTTATCACTATACACTTCCCTGTTAGCACTGCTTTCACTGCATCTCATAAGTTTTGGTATGCTGTGTTTTTATTTTATTTCTCTCAAAATGTTCTGTAATTTCCCACATAATATTTACTTTGACCTAACTTTTGTTCAAAAATGTGTTGTTTTATGTATTTGTGAATTGTTCCATTTACCTTTTGCTATTGATTTATAGTTTCATTTCATTGTGGTTGGAAAATATATATGAAATGGTTTCTAACAGCTTGAATTTTAAAAGGTCTTTTCTGATTTCGCATGTGATATATTATGGAGAATGTCTGTGTGCACTTGAGAAGAATGTGCATTCTGCTGCTGTTGGGTGAAATGTCCTCTATATGTTCGTTTTAACCATTTGATCTGTAGTGTTGTTCAAGTCTTCTGCTTCCTTGTTTTTTATCTGAATTTTCTATCCATTATTGAAGTGTGGTATTAATTATTTTTACTGTTATTGTTAAAGATAGTAATTTTACTGTCTCTTTTAATAATTTTTAACTTAAAGTCTATTTTATCTGCTCCCTTTTAGCTACCATTTGCATGGAGTATCTTTTTTCTATTCCTTCATTTTTAGGCTATGTGTGTCTTTAAGTTTGAAAAGAGTCTCATGTAGATATTTATAGGTGGATCTTTTATATTATGCATTTAGCCACTTTTCATCTTTTGATGAGTTTAGTCCATTTACATTTAAAGTAATTATTAGTTTAAAAAGGGTTACTAATACCATTACCATTTTTACATGTTATTTAATGTCTGTTTTGTAAATATTTTGCCCATTTTTTCCTCTCTTGTTTGCCTATATGATTTGATGATTTTTATTGATATACATTGATATTCTTCTCTGTATTTTTTTATATCTACTGTATTTTTTCTTTGCATAAAAATGTTTACAGGTATAACACACTATTTTAAACTAATGGAAACTAAACTTCGATATTATACAAAAATTACACTTTTTAACTTTTATTTTAAGTTCAGGGATAAATGTGCAGGTTTGTTATATAGGTAAATTCATGTCACAGATCCTTGATGTACAGATTTTTGCATCACCCAGGTATTATGCCTAGTACCCATTAGTTAGTTTTCCTGATCCTTTTTCTCCTTCTACCTTCCAGCTTCTGGTATACTCCAGTGTCTGCTGTTCTCTTCTTTGTGTCCATGTCTTCTCCTCATTTAGCTCCCACTTATAAGTGAGAACATGAGGTACTTGGCTTTCATTCCTATTTTACTTTGCTAAAGATAATGGCCTCCAGCTCCATGCATGCTCCTGCAAAGGACATAATCTCATTCTTTTTTATGGCTGCATAGTATTCCATGGTCTATATGCACCACCTTTTCTTTATCCAGTCTGTCATTGGTGGGCATTTAGGCTGATTTCATGTCTTTGCTTTTGTGAATAGGGCTGCAATGAACACTCTCATGTATGTGTCTTTATGGTAGAAGATTTTCTATTCCTTTTGGTATATACCCAGTAATGGGATTGCTGAGTCAAAGGGTATTTCTGTTTTTAGGTCTTTGAGAAATCACCACACTGTCTTCCACAATAGTTGAGTTAATTTATACTCCCACCAACAGTGTATAAGTATTTCTTTTTCTCTACAAACTCCCCAGCATTTTTTATTTTTTGACGTTTTAATAATCGCCATTCTGACTGGAGTGAGATGGTATCTCTTTGTGGTTTTGATTTGCATTTCTCTAATGATCAGTGATGTTGAGCTTTTTTTCATATGATTGTTGACCAACTGTATATCTTCTTTGAAAAGTATCTGTTCCTATCCGTTGCCCACTTTTTAATGTTTTGTTTTTTGTTTTCTTCTAAATTTGTTTACGTTTCTTATAGATGCTGGATATTAGACCTTAGTCAGATGTATAGTTTGAAAATATTTCCTCCCATTATGTAGGTGGTCTGTTTAATCTGTTGATAGTTTCTTTTGCTCTGCAGAAACTCTTTGGTTTTATTTTCTCCCACTTGTCCATTTTTGTTTTTGTTGTGATTGTTTTTGATGTCTTTGTCATGAAATCTTTGCCTATTCCTATGTCCAGGATGGTATTGCCGAGGTTGCCTTCCAGGGTTTTTATAGATTTGGGTTTTACATTTAAGTCTTTAATCTCATTTGAGTTAATTTTTGTATACAGTGTAATGGAGGGGTCCAGTTTCAATCTTCTGCTAGCCAGTTTTCTCAACATCATGTACTAATGAGGAGTCCTTTCCTCATTGCTTGTTTTTGTCAGCTTTGTCAAAGATAAGATAATCGTCAGTGAATGGCCTTATTTCTGGGCTCTCTATTCTGTTCCATTGGTCTGTGTCTACTTTTGTGTTGTTGCCTTGCTCTTTTGGTTACTGTAGCCATGTAGCATAGTTTGAAGTTGGGTAGCATGATGTCCTTAGCTTTGTTCTTTTTGTTTAGGATTGCATTGGCTATTCAGGCTCTTTTTGCTACCATATACATTTAAAAATATTTTTTTCTAAAAAACTCCAAGTTTACATTTCTCCTCCCACTTTATGTCATTGTTATCATAATTCACTTCTTTTTATATTGTGTATCCTAACAAAAGTTTTTACCTACGGTTATTTTTAATATCTTTGGCTTGTAATTTTATATTATTATTAAAGTGATTTATGAACTACCATGACTGTATATATTACTATTTGCCTACATATTTACTTATACCAGTGAGATTTATAATTGTATGCTTTTGTGTAACTGTTTAACATCATTTTATTTCAAGTTTAGGAACTACTTTTAATATTTTTTGTAAGTCATGTCTAGTGCTGACAAATTCCCTCAATTGTTTGTCTGGAAAAGTATCTTAGTAGATATTTTTTAATTAGGCACTTTGAATATATCACCCTACATCCTTCAAGGCTTCAAAATTTCTGATGAAAAAAATGCTTATTGTCTTATAGAGATTTCTGTTTACATGTCAATTTGGTTTAATGTTGCTGTTTTTAAAATATTTTGACTTTTCTAGCAATGCAAGGATAGTTCAATGTACACAAATCAACAAATGTGATTCACTACATAAACAACAACAATAAAACTATATGATCTTCTCAATAGATTCAGAAAAACCATTCAATAACATTCAACATCCCTTCATGATAAAAGCCCTCAAAAACATAGACATCAAAAGAACATACATCAAAATAATAAAAGTCATATACATAAAACCTACAGCCAACATCATACTTAATAGAAAAAAATGGAAATATTTTCCCCTAAGAACTTGTAAAAGACCAAGATTTTCACTTTTTCCAATTCTCTTCAACATAGTTGTGGAAGTCCTAGCCAGAGCAATCAACAAGAGAAAGAAATGAGAAATTCAGTTTATCTCTGTTCATGGACAACATGATTTTATACCTGGAAACCCTAAAGACTCCCCTGAAAGACTCTTTGATTTGATAAATGACTTCACTAAATTTTCAGGATACAAAATAAAAATAAAAAATCAATAGCATTTCTATACAGCAGTATATAACCATCAAGAAGAGAACAAAATTAAGAACTTAATCTCATTCATAATAGCTACCTCAATAATACCTAAAAATGAAATTTACCAAGGAGGTGAAAGAACTCTACGAGGAGAACTACAAAACACTGATGAAAGAAATTGTAGATGATACAAATGGAAAAACACCCTGTGCTAATGGATTGGAAAAATCAATATTGTTAAAATGGCCATACAACCCAAAGCAATCTACCAATTTGATGCAATTCCTATCCAGTTACATATATCATTTTTCACAGAATTAGGAAGACACAATTCTAAAGTTCAGATGGAATCAAGAACAAATATAAAATTGCCAAAGCAATTATAAAAAAAGATATCTGGAGACATTACATTATCTGAACTCAAATTATACAATGAGGCTACAGTAATAAAAGTAGCATGATACTAGGATAAACATATATACATAGGTTTATAGAACAGAATACAGAGCCCAGAAATAAAGCCACATATCTAAAACCAACTGATCTTTGACAAAGTTGAAAAAATTATACACTGAGGAAAAGAGACTACATTCAATAAATTGTGTTATCTCTCATCTCATATAAAATTAAGGCAAAATGAATTAAACACTTAAATGTAAGACCTGAAATTATTAAAATTCTAGAAGAATACTATTCTGGACATTAGCCAAGGCATATAACTTATGACAAATTCCTCAAAAGCAAGCACAACAAAAATAAAATCAGACAAATGGGATATAATTAAATTAAAACTTTCTATGGAAGATGAAATTTAGATAATTATAAAATAAATAGGCAAATATGAAAATATTAAAATTATAATACTTTGTGACCATGAAAAGATTGTCATAATTTACATTTCTTTCAAATTGATAATGGTATCCTGGGATTTTGTGTTGTATCCAGGCATAATTTCAGATGAAATATAATTGTTAGTATGATTTTTTTTATTAACTGAGAGGCTGTATGATTATTATAAGTCCTCAGATTTGGAACTGTTAGAGGGCTTACTCTTATTCTTCCAAGAATATAAAAAAAGTAATGGTTATCCATTGCTTAGTGAGTAGGTGACATAAAGAAAAATATTTTCAAGAATTCTTTTTACAGCAAGTCTTTTTCTAACTGAGTAGATTCACCAGATATTGCTTATTGGGATGCATATATTATAATCCTTCTAACAGTGGTTCTCAATATTCATTGAACATAAAAACCCTTGGGAACTTGTTAGAGTGCTGGTTTCTAGACTTTTTTTCAGAAATTGATTCTACACTTGAGAAATCTCTTCTTATGCTGCTAGGAGAGCTTACCTTTGAAATTTCTCACAAAAACAAGTCGCATAAGGAAAAATACATAATTTAAAGACTATACTTAACCTTTATACTTAAAATTCAAGTGAATTTTAAAAGAGTTTTACTTTTATGATATTTTGAAACAAATATACAAATTTCTTAATCATCTCTTCCTCAGGAGAATTGTTCTAGTATCTGCAATTATCAACTGAAATATATTTAGAGTTTCATAGACCAGTTTATCACAACTTTTGCTTTTGTTGTAAAAAAAAAAAAGACATAATCACGATGATTTAAATATTGAGTTTAATGAAGTGAAGTAAAACATGAGTTTAATAAGCTGACCTTTTAAATCAGAACCTCTAAAATTCTGTTAAAGTTTAACTGTCTCTTTAAGTCTCTGAGACTGGATAGAAAATCAAGCATGCACTCATCCTGTCAATTTTCCACAGTCCTGCCTAAGAAATTTGTCCAAAAGTACCTTAAAAACAATATCAAAACTAGCCAACAATTGACTATGCTTATGAATTGATTGTGATTCACTGAAGACCTCCTAGAATTTAACTGAGAGTGAGATGATTATTTACAACTCATTATTTTACTGAAGTTTTATTAGCCTAGAAAACATTGACATTTCTTTAGCAAAATAACATGGAAGCATATAGAGTAATCAAAGTGCTTGAAATAAAGTAGTGATTTTGTTTTGTTTTGCTTTATTTTTAGTATATCACCACATTTTTCTGGTTATATAATAAGAAAGTGGTTGTAATTAGAACACCATGTCAGAACCATAACCCTAATTTCTTCATGCTTCCCTTTTGTCAGCTTTTGAGATATTTACTGTTTAATACTTGTCCGCTTTTGTGATAAAATAACAACAATAATTTTTGTTCATTAGAATTATTATATAGTCATTTTATTGTTGTACGTTTTGTCAAGTTCTTTTCTTTTGGCATTGTGCACACACTACAAAAGCAAAATTTAGTCCTTTCAAAGAGTTGAAAAGAAGCAATCTCTTATATGACAAATCCAACATTATCATATGTAAACCTCATTTGCTATGGAATGTCTCCCTGTTTCCAGCTCATTAATTGAATGAAACCTATTTTCACATTCTAGTAGGCAGCACTCTTCTTGAACTAATGGAATGATGTCTTTAGAAAAACAAAAAAGAAAGCAGGAATATATAATGTGATTAAATAATTCCCCAAAGGAATGGAATGAAAATATCCTGCTAGAAATATCAAAATCACAATATTATGCTAAATTAGGAAAGATAAAATTAGGATGAGGAAGTTGGTATTCTTAAGATACAAAATTATTTGCTTACTAAAATCTACCAAATATTGAATAGGCAATCAAGATTGTTTTTTCCTACTTAATTAAATTGTGCCAACATGAATAAAGAAATGGTTTTATATTGAAATTATATAACCAACTGCAATACTGTTTCTTTTTTTCTGTTGTGTGATAAGAAACTAAAGCCTAAATCATTTTGTTCTTTACAAGAGAAATACCTGCCCATCTGTAATTGAGTGACTATGTTTAAAGATGTAGTTATCTAACAATGAGGCACTGTGGTGCACCATCCAAATTCACATCCATATATTTTATTCTAAGCCTTCCTAACAAAGACCAAGTAGCCCTTTGTGTATAATCAGAATGCCTAAGAACTCTTGGATAGCTTCAATTTAAAAAGACAGATAACCAAGCATTATCTCCATTTGCCCACATTGATAGTACTTCTAAAACCTATTAAAAACATAACAAAACAAAACCAACAAAAACAAAACTGATTTCTAGGAGAATGAGCAAGAACACACAGAGAGAGAATAACGATGAGTAGAGCAAGAGGTTTTGGTTCCACCACTTGATGATGATGATTATAATAATAATACCTTACATTTGAATAGCACACAATGCTTTTGCATATATTATCTCAATTGCTACGCAACCAGAAACCACTCCATACCTTTTCTATTCCAAGACTGACTTGTTTGTGAAAAAGAGCTAGCTGAAACAATGAACCATATTAACCATACTAACATAACAAGCACATATTGAGTTAGACACTATATCTATATAGTCTACTGTCCCTAAGACTGATAGCAAAAGCTTTGTGAGAGTGGAACAAGGCCACCAGTGTATACCAAACAAACAGCCTAGATTTTCTTTGATATTCTATTATGGCTTTGTCATCCATAGATTTACTTAAACCATTTATGAAGCTAGTTACCTTTTAATTCCATATACCTACTTGGCATCCCAATGTACATTTCCCACTGGATATAGAAGTAGTTTTTGTATTTGTCTTTTTTTGTAATTGGTAGTACATTCACATGGTTCAAACTCAAAAGATACAAAAAAGGATACAAAAAAGGATATAGAATGAAAAGAAGTCTTCCTCCTTCCCACCTGCTATGCTGCAGACACCTATATCTTCTCCTCCAAGGAAATGAGAGTTATAAACTTCTTGTGTATCTTTAGGGATGGTCTGTGTATATTTAACCAAACGCACATGCACACATTTTTAAATAAATGGTAGCAGGCTTACTGCTCTGATTCTTGAGTTTTCTACTTAACAATATATCTTTGAGTTAAGATTCTGTAAGTAGAAAAAACTACCTTATTCTTTTTTAGTATTTGTATAGTGTCCCAGGTACAGAACCTCACTGCCCAGTATGTCAGCCGATAGACACATGGGGCTACTAAGCACTTGGAATGAACTCAGTTGTTCTGTAAGTATAAAATATACTAGATTTCAAAGATTTTGCATAAAAATGCAAAATATTTCGAAATTTCTATGTTCATTACACTTTGAAATAATACTATTTTGGACAACTTTGGTCAACAAAACATACTATTAAATCTTGTCTCACTTTTTTTGTTGTTCTTTATTTATTTTGTTTTTTTGAGACGAAGTTTCGCTCTTGTTGCCCAGGTTTGAGTGCAATGGCATGATCTTGGCTCACTGCAACCTCAGACTCCTGGGTTCACGCGATTCTTCTGCCTCAGCCTCCTGAGTAGCTGAGATTACAGGCGCCCGCGTCCTGGCCCGGCTAATTTTTTGTATTTTTAGTAAAGATGGGGTTTCATCATGTTGACCAGGCTGGTCTCAAACTCCTCACCTCAAGTGATCCGCCCACCTCAGCCTCCCAAAGTGCTGGGATTTCAGGCATAAGCCACCGCCCCTGGCCTTTTTTATTCTTTTAATGTGACTACTGAAAATTTTTTTAGTTAAACATATTTTTGCATTGCATTTTGATTTGACATAGCTGATATAGATGAGCTATCATTTATTTAACCTCTTGTTTATTAATAAAAATTTAGATTTTTATTCTATTCATTTGGTATTACAAACAATACTAAGATTAATAACATTTAAAATCATTATGGATTGGGCAGATGGGATTCCTGGAACAAAATATAAGCATTATATATTTTGATAGGTATAGCTAAACTGTCCTTAATTGTGTTCATACTAATTTACACTCCAAACATCAATGTGTGAGAATGTGTTTTTTCTACACTCTAACAAAAATTATTTCAACAATTATTTTTCCTCTTTGCCTGTTTAATGAGTGACATTTGATTTTCTGTTACAGTAATTTTTATTTTTCTTATTTTCAGTGAGGTAGAACATTTTTTATAAGTTTTAGGGTCCTTTATTCATTTTCTGTATGTTCATTCATTCATCAAATATTTTTTGAGTGCATAGAATATGCCAGGTTTTTTCTAGGGTTTTGGGACACACCAAAAAACAAAACAAAGTTATCTCCCTTGCGCTGTTTACATTTTAGTGAGGAAAAACCATATGTGTGTGTGTATAGAGAGATAGATAGATAAATAGATGGATATAGATACTACTGTATATAGTAATATCTTTCGTATGAGTAGATATCTATGCTATACCTAGTTCATAGTATCTATATATATATTATATATATATATGGATATAGTATCTTGGAGATAAAAACATGAAAAAATAAAACATACATAAGGCAGGGAAAAAAATTGGAAGTATAGAGTTGCAGTGGAATATAAACTTTCCATTAATTTACTTTTTTATTTTAAAACTATTTTTAAAGGTGGAGTTTTGCTGTGTTGGCAAGGCTATAGAGCAGTGGCTATTCACAGGCATGATCAAAGTGCACTGCAGCCTCGAACTCCAGGGCTCAAGAGATCCTCCCACCTTAGCCTCCAAATAGCTGGGACTACAAGTTTGTGCCACTGCATCCAGTTTACTTTTTAATTTTTAAATATCTTTCTCTTAAGTTTTTAAAATTACTTTTTCTAGCATTACCCTGTCACAAGCACACACATATACATGCATAAAAATCCCCTCTTCAACATATGTATGCATGTGCACACGCACACACATCTGCCCTTGTAATACAGTGATTAAGAGCATGAGCTATGATATCAAACAGATCCACATTTAAATTCAGACTCTTCTTATGACTGTGAGACTATTTGCAAGTTATTTAGACCCACTGAGCCTAAATACCCTAGTAACAAAAATGGGTAAGAATAGTACTTATACCATAGAAATGTTGTAAATGTTAAATGATATAATATATGTTAAACGTTCAGCACCACGCCTTGTACATTACAAAAAATGAGAACTATTCGCTATTATCTGAAGAAGTTTGTAAATCCTAGATCTGTCTCTTTTACCATCTCTTTCACTAACTACAGACTGTTACTCTTCCCTTAAAGAATAAGGAACTCTAAACTTTTAAGTATTTTTTTATACAGTAGACACCATTCCATTGATCATTTGATTTGTCCTCCTCTGGTATGTAAGTTGTATTACTGATGCCTGGGCATCCAGTAATAGTTCATATTTATATATTTTCCTCTTTAGTACTTGTAATGCCTAATGTACTTTTTAGTTGTTACAAATTTCAGAGAAAAATTTCCAGGTAAATTATGTATGTAGGCAAAAAAGCTTATATGCACATTCACCTATACATTTATAGAAATCCATCAATTAAAATATGTATATATCTATGTCCATATTTATGTGCATACACACACACCTTTCGCATTATTTAGATTCATTAACTTTCTTAAGAAAAAATCTCAGTGATTAATAGCTTAACTTACACCATTATACTATCTTTGCTTCACTGTTAAATTATCTTTTCTGGAGTTGTTTGGCTTTCTCAGCTTTCCAACTTGGAAAAATAATACGCATATATTATAGTTTTAATTTTTATGTTCATTATAGCATTTAAATTTTGCCAGAAGAATCTACCAATTGAACCCATTTCCCCAAAAACAACTATGTCAGCTGGTTTGCTTGAAGTATGAGAGTTACTTTATTTCCTTACTACTTTCACAGACATTCCAATGTACTTGTAGCAAATCCATGTTGCTCTTTTTAACCCAAATTTGAGAGATTCAATGAGGGCTTGATATATTTGAATGGAGTTTACAGTATTTGTAATGTCCATGTAGCTTTGTTAATTTTGCATTTGTTCGAATATTTGAGTGCCTAATGTTAGGCATTGTGTAATATTCTTAGTATACAATAGTGAAAAAGACAAACATACAAAAATATAAATAAAATAGCTTCCAGAGAACAGAAGTTGTGTTTTCTTTACTTCTTTAACTAGACAGCCACTCTCCCATTAATACCTTACAAATTTCCTGGCATAAAGGTGCTCTGCTTATTATATATACAAGAATAATCTTTGCCACGATTAAAAACTATCAACTATAATATAAAATAATCTTTTAAACAAGAAATATATTGAATCAAATTAGCTGCCAGAGCTAACAAAATTAGTTACTTAATTAACTTTTGTATCTTCCATTTTCATGTTGTCAATTTTAGCAGTAGAGAATCTTTACTCCTGTTTCTAGATTAATGTTATTATTCTTGGTAGAGTCAAGGAATTCATTGTCTATAAATTTTTATCTCCTTCTCAATGCTTCCCAAATGTCTCACATGCAATAAATAGAAATATCTATATCTGTTCTAATTGACGATTTAGAATGAGTGCAAATACTTTAATTTATTATGATTAAAATATTAAAGATGCTTGTGATAATTATATGTTGAATCAGGCAATGGTGTTTTGGACAATAATGGAGCAACATAACTCAGTGTGATAGTGGTAAATATATATTAATTATTTTAATTCAAAATAGATTGAGTTTGCCACCACCAGATTGCTTCCCACCTGTGGAACCCCCACTGAATAATCCTCACTCACAGTGCCACCACTGGAGCACTTCATGCTTGCGATGCCCCACTGGAGTGCTTCCTGACTCTCCCACCCCCATCAGAATGCTTCTTGCCTGCAATGATGTGCCACAGCTGCCTCAGTGCTTCTCACCCCCCACCTACACCTCCAGAGCCCTTCCTCCCCACCACAACCTCATTGAAATACTTTCTACACATGGCACCCACCTGCAGAAGCACCCCCCCATGTGTAACACCCTTGTTGTCTCAGCCCAAGTGTCTTCTGCCCACCATGCCCAATGCTGGAGAGCCTACCATTGCCGGCACCATATGCAGGATTGTTACCCACCTGTTATGTTCCCTACCTCAGTGCCTCCCACTTGTGATGCTTATGCTGACCCCACTAGAGTACTCTCACCTGTGGCACCCCCTGCCAGAGTGCTTCCTACCCACAGCATCCCCTGCCAGAGTGCCTCCCACTGACAGCACCCCAACACTCCTGCTAGAGCACTTTCCACACACAGTGCCTCCCACTAGAACACCCACACCAATGGCCCCTGCCATCTCCTATAGAGTGCTGTTGTCAGCAGTCTGGGAGTATCTGGTTTCCTCTAGCCCAGACAAGGCTTGATCTCAAGGAACCAGAGGATAAAGCCACTGCACCAGTTCTAGTCCCCCAGAGTTAGGACATGCAGCCCAAGAGTGTGGAGCTGAGCCTTTATCTCTAAGAGCATCCAGAAACAAAACCATTCAACCACATCCAACAATAAAGATTATAAAGTACAAAAAGCCATATCCAAAGGAAAGTAACTTCAAAAGAAAAAAGCTCATCAGATCTCAAAAATGAGAAACAACCAGCACAAGAACTCTAGCGACTGTAATAGCTGGAGTGTCTTCTTACTTCCAAATGATCACACTAGCTTCCTAGAAATGAATCCTAACCAGATTGAAACGCCTAAAATGTCAGATGTAGAATTCAGAATCTTGATGGTAAAGAAGCTATTTGATATATAAGAGAATGTTGAAATCAAATCCAAGGAAAACAGTAAAATAACTCAAGAGTTGAAAAATGACATAACCATTTTAAAAAAAGAATCAAACTGAACTTATGGAAATAAAAAATTCCCTACAAGTATTTCAAAATGCAATTGGAAGTATTAACAACATAATAGACCAAGCAAAGGAAAGAATCTCAGAGCTCTAAGACCACTCCTTTAAAATAACACAGGCAAACAAAAATAAAGAAATATGAATTTTAAAATGCAAAGAACTTCTGAGAAATATGGAACTATGTAAAGAGACTACACCTATGACTTATTGACATTCCAGAAAGAGGAGAGAGAACAAGAAACTTGAAAACATAATTGAAGTTATAGTTAATGACAATTGTTCCGATCTCACTAGAGTGATTGCCATGCAAATTCGAGAAATTCTGAGAACCCTGTGAGGTACTATGTGAGATGGCCAGACCCGAGAAAAACAGACATCATGTTTGCCAAGGTCAACACAAAAGAAAAATATCTTAAAGTCAGTTAGAGAAAAGGAGCAGGTCACTTACAAAAGAAACTCCTTAATGCTAACAGTGGACCTTTCAGCAGAAACCTCACAAGTCAGAAGACATTGGGGTCCTATTTTCAAAATCCTTAAAAAAGAAAACTCCAAACAAGAAATTCATATTTCATCAAATAAGCTTAATCGATGAAGGAGAAATAAATTTTTTTCAGACAAGCAAAAGCTAAGATAATATTTTGACACTAGACCTGCCTTGCAAGAGCTTCTAAAGGGAGTCGTAAACATGGAAATGAAAAAATAATACATGCCACTACAAAAACACATTTCCCATTTACACTACAAAGCAATTCTATAATCAAGTTTACATAACAACCAGCTAACAGCATGATGTCAGTGTCAAAGTATCGCATACCATTATTGACCCTGAATGTAAATGAGCTAAATGTTCCACTAAAAGGGCATGGTATGGCAAGCTGGATAAAGACACAGGAGGAAACTGTATGCTGTCTTCAAGAGACCCATCTCACAAATAATGACACCAATAGGCTCAAAGTAGAGGTTGAAAAAAATTTACAGGCAGGGCGTGGTGGCTCACGCCTGTAATCCCAGCACTTTGGGAGGCCAAGGTGGGCAGATCTCAAGGTCAGGAGATGGAGACCATCCTGGCTAACATGGTAAAACCCCATCTCCACAAAATACAAAAAATTAGCTAGGCGTGGTGGCGGGCACCTGTAGTCCCAGCTACTTGGGAGGCTGAGGCAGGAGAATAGCGTGAACCTGGGAGGTGGAGCTTGCAGTGAGCTGAGATCGTGCCACTGCACTCCAGTCTGGGTGACAGAGTGAGACTCCATCTCAAAAAAAAAAAAAAAAAATCTACCAAGCAAATAAAAAACAAATACAGAACAAGGTAGCTAGACTTAGATAACACAAAATATAAAGCAACAACCGAAAAAGAGGATGAAGATAGATATTACATACTGATAAATGGTTCAACCCAAAAGAAGACTTAAGTTATCCTAAATATACACACACACAACATTGGAGCACCCAGAATAATAAAGTAAGATCTTCCAGATTTATGAAAATTTTTAGACAACCACATGATAATATTTGGGAACTACAACACCACATTGACAGCATGAAACAGATCATCAAGGAAGAAAACTAACAAAGATATTGTAGACTTAACACTTGACCAATTGGGCCTAATAGATTCCATAGAACACTTTACCTAAAAACAACAGAATATATATTCCTCTCATTTACACACAGCACATACTCAAAGTTCAACCAAGTGCTCAGCCATAAATCAATTATTAACAAATTAAAAACCCCACAATTCACACCAACCACACTCTTGGACCACGTGTAATAAAAATAGAAATTAATACCAAAAAAATCTCTAAAACCATACAAATACATAGAAGTTAAATAAACTGCTCCTGAATGACTATTGGGCAAATAAAAAATTAAGGCAGAAATAAAAAATTATATGAAACTGAAAAACAGAGACACAACATAACAGAATATTTGGGAAACAACTAAATCAGTGTTAAGAGGAAAATTTATATCACTAAATGTGAACATCAAAAATTTAGAGCTATCTCAAGTTAACTTAACATTGCAGTTAGAGGAAGCAGAAAAACAAGAGAAAATCAACCCCAAAGCTAGAAGAAGAAAAGAAATTAACAAAATCAAAGCTGAACTGAACAAAATTGAAATGAGAAAATCCATATAAAAGATCAAAAAAGTCAGTTCTTTGAAAGATTCAATAAGTTTAATAGACTGCTAGCTAGATTTATAAATAAAGAGATAAGATTCAAATAAACACAATCAGAAACTACAAAGATGATGCTACAACAAAACACACAAAAATATAAAAATATCATCAGAGACTATTATAAACACCTCTAGGCACAAAACTAGAAATCCCAGAAGAAATAGATGAATTCCTGGAAACACACAGCCTTGCAAGATTGAACCAAGAAGGTATTTAAACCTGGAACAGACAAATAACAAGATATGAAATTTAATCAGTAATGAAAGACTTACCAGCCAGAAAAAGCCCTGGACCAGATAAATTTCAAGCTGAATTCTACCAGACATACAAAGAAGAGGTAGTAGCAATACTACTGAAATTATTCCAAAAAATTAAAAAGGAGAGACTCCTCCCACACTCATTCTGCAAAGCCAGCTTCATTCTGATACTAAAGCCCAGCAGAGACACAATGAATAAATAAAACTTCAGGCCAATATGCCTGATGAACATAGACACAAAAATCCTCAACAAAATACTGGCAAAACGAATCCAGCAGAACATCAAAAAGTTAATTCACCACAATAAAGTAGGCTTTATTCCTGGAATAAAAGGTTGGCTTAACATATGCACATCAATAAATGTGATTCACTACATAAACAATGTTAATAACAAAATCCACATGATCATTTCAACAGATGCAGAAAAGACTTGCAACAAAATTCAACATCCCTTCATGTCAGAATTCCTGAAATTAGGCATTGAAATAACATATTTGAAAATAATAAGAGCCATAAATGATGAATCCACAGCCAATGTCATTCTGAATTAGCAAAAAGTGGAAGTACTTTCTTTGAGAACAGGAACAAGACAAGAATGCCTACACTCTCACCATTTCTATTCAATGTATTAATTACTGAAAGTCCTAGCCAAAGCAATCAGGCAAGAGAAAAAAATAAAAGGCATCCAGATAGGAAGAGAGGAAGTCAAACTATCTCTCCTCACAGACAGTGTGATTCCATACCTAGCAAACCCCATAGACTCCACCAGAAGGCTTCTAGAACTGAAACACCAATTAAGTAAAGTTTCAGGATACAAAGTCTATGCAAAAACCCAGCAGCATATCTAAACACCAATAACATACAATCTGGAAGCCAAATCAATAACAGAGTCCTATTTTCAATAGCTATGAAAATAACAAAATACCAAGGAATAAAGCTTAACAAGGTGAAAGAACTACACAAAGGTAATTACAAAACACCTCCAAACAAAATCAGTGACAACACAAACAAATAGAAAAACATTCCAAGCTCATGGACAAGAAAAATCCATGTTGTTAAAATTACCATACTGCCAAAAGCAATTACAGACTCAATGCTATTCCTATGAATCTTCCAATGTCATTTTTCAAAGAATTAGAAAAAAAAATTCTAAAATTCATATGGAACCAAATAAGTGCCCAAATAGCCAAAGCAATCGTATGGAAATAGAATAAAGTCACAAGTATTATATTACCTGATATCAAACTGCACTATAAGGCTAGAGTAATTAAAATAGCATGGTATTAGTACAAAAACAGACACATAGACCAACGGAACAAAAGAGAGAACCTGGGGCCGGGTGTGGTGGCTCACGCCTGTAATCCCAACACTTTGGAGGCTGAGGTGGGTGGATCACCTGAGGTCAGGAGTTCGAAACCAGCGTGGCCAACAGGGTGGAACCTCATCTATACTAAAAATACATAAATTAGCTGGGCATGGTGGTGCACACCTATACTCCCAGCTACTCAGGAGGCTGAGGCAGGAAAATTGCATGAACCTAGGAGGCAGAGGTTGCAGTTAGCTGAGATCACCCCACTGCACTGTAGCCTGGGTGACAGAGCAAGAGTCCTTAAAAAAAAAATAGAAAAGAAAAAAAAAAGAGAGAGAGCAAGAACCTGGAAATAAAGCCATACATGTAAAACCACTTGATTTTTGACAAAGTTGACAATAACAAACAATAGAGAAAGGACTCACCATTAAATAAATGGTTCTTGGATAACTGATCAGTGATGTGCAGGAGATTGAAACTGGCACCCTTCCTTTTACCATCTACATAAATTTTTCTGGACATCAGCCTTGGAGATGCATTTATGACTAGGTCCCCAAAAGCAATTGCAACACACAGAAAATTGTCACAAATATGGATATAATTAAACTAAAGAGCTTCTGAAAACTATACACAAAGCAAACAGGAAGCCTACAGAGTGGGATAAGTTATTTGCAAACTATGCATCTAACAAAAGCCTATTATCCAGAATTTGTAAGCTACTTAAACAAATCACCAAGCAAAAAACAAATAAATCAGTTTAAAAATGGGCAAAGAACATTAAAAGACCATTCTAAAAACGATATTCATGTGGTCCACAAATATATGAAAAAATGCTCATCATCACAAATCCTCACAGAAATGCCAATCAAAACCACAATGAGATACCATCTCACACCCGTCAGAATGATTATTATTTAAAAGTCAAAGACAACTGATGCTGGCAAAGATTTAGATAAAAAGCAATCTTTATACACTGCCAGTGGGAATGTAAATTCAGCCAGTGTAGATAGCAACGTGGTGTTTTCTCAAAGAACTTAAAACTGGACTACCATTCAACTCAGAAATCCAACTACTATGTATATACTCAAAGAAAAATACATTGTTCTACCAAAGAGAATAATGCACATATATGTTCATCCCTATGCTATTCACAATACCAATAACATGCCATCAACCAAGATGCCTATCAACGGTGGACTGGGTAAAGAAAATGTGATCCATATACATCACAGAATATGACATAGCAATAAAAAAAAAAAATGAAATCATGTTCTTTGAAGCAATATGGATGGAGCTGTAGGCCATTATCCTAACCAAACTAATGCAGAAACAGAAAAACAAATACTTTGTGTTCTTAAAGTGATAGCTACATATTGAATACACATGAACACAAAGAAGGGAACAATAGTCTCTGGAGGCTACTTGAGAAGGGAGGGTGGAGAAAGGGGTATGAGTTTGAAGGATTCCTATTTGGTACTGTGCTCATTACCTTGTTGACAGGATCATTCATACACAAAGCCATAGTGACACTCAATTTTCCCATGTAACAAGTCTGCATACGCACCCCCTCAGCTTAAATTTTTTTAAAAAAATTATTAATTACCTAGAATAAACCATAATGCATTAAGTGTTTTGATGAGAATAAAAAAAATTTAGGGCAAATATTATATATATATATTTGTATGTATATTATAATATTGTATATTATTATAATATTTTACTATTATGTATAATATATGTGTAATATACATATATTATGATATTATACATAATATTATAATGTATTATGTATAATATTATAATGTATTATGTACAATATAATGTATTAATATATACAAGTAGACATTATGTATTTTTATATATAATGTGTATATATATACACACATACACATTGGAATACTATACCACTCATCCGTATATGTGTGTGTGTATATATATATATATATATATATATATATGTGTGTGTATATATATATATGTGTGTGTGTATATATATATACACACACACACACACACACACACACTGGAATACTATACTACTCATCCATAAAAAAGTATAAATTAATGGCCTTTGCAACAACCTGGATGAGATTGGAGACTATTATTCTAAGTAACTCTGGAATGGAAAATCAAACATCATATGTTCTTAACCATAAGTGGGAGCTAAGCTATGAGAATGCAAAGGTATTAATAATGTGACAATGAGCCAGGTGCAGTGGCTGACTCCTGTAATTCCAGCACTTTGGGAAGCCGAGGCTGGCAGATCACCTGAGGTCAGGAGTTTGAGACCAGCCTGGCCAATATGGTGAAACCCCATCTCTACTAAAAATACCAAAATTAGCTGGGAGTGGTGGTGGGCACCTTTAATCCCAGCTACTCGGGAGGCTGAGGCAGGAGAATTGCTTGAACCCGGGAGGCAGAGGTTGCAGTGAGCCGAGATCACACTCCAGCCTGGGCAACAAGAGCAAAACTCTGTCTAAAATAAAAGAATGATAAGATGGATTTTGGAGACTCAGGGGGAAGGGTAGGAAAGGAGTGCGCGATAAAAGGCTATAAATCGGATTCAATGGGATGTATTCTGCTTGGGTGATGGGTGCACCAAAATGTCAAAAATCGCCACTAAAGAACTTACTCATGTAATCAAATAACAGCTATTCCCTGAAAACCTATGGAAATTAAAACAAACAAACAAACAAATAAATAAATGAAATAGATGCTTTGGGGCTAAAAAGCTCCTACTCCACCTTAGGTGGAACTTCTTGAGCACTCTACAAAATGAATGCAATGCCTCTACCAACTTTAACTATGAGAGAGAGTGTTTTTTATTTCAGTAATAAATGTATCTATAAAATATCTTATTCCAAAATATTGGAGGAAAGATGTATTTGGTGCAAATGAATGCATAAAATAATTTGAATTGCAATGACTAAAATGTTAAATGTAC
Source organism: Homo sapiens (assembly GCF_000001405.40). Taxonomy (NCBI): domain Eukaryota; kingdom Metazoa; phylum Chordata; class Mammalia; order Primates; family Hominidae; genus Homo; species Homo sapiens. Next base: position 82,305,110 of record NC_000023.11, read on the forward strand.
AAAGCCCTTTCAAAGACTCTAGAGATTAAACCTAAATTAGATTTTTAATGTACTTTCTTTTCTGATGTTTCTTTAACTTTTATTTTGCAGAGTTGACTTATCCTTTGAATTATGAAGTAAACAAGATATATTCTTTTTTTCTAATGTTTGTTCATACTCTAATTTTTGTGGTATTCTGTATTCAAATTATTAGGTTCTTCTTGCCAGATATGATTAGTGAAGTCTACCTATCAATATTTAATGAGCTGCTGACAAAAAAAAAGGTGTGGAACAACTAACAGCAGACTATGTTTGGCCCTCTAACCAAAATGACTACTAATTCAACTTGTTCTATCATTGAAACCAGTCTTACATAAAGTGAAATAAAGCTTTTCTATATTTGTGATTTGTTGGCCCTAGAATATTTTAGTCCTATTACACTTCCTCCACTTGCCTAAAACAGAACATGAATTCCACTTTTCCTCTCTGGGCCACTACTATAGAAGCTGTGAAGCTAAGTCAAATTCTTACTGGCTGTCATAGTCTGTAATTTCCATTAACCTTTTCTTCTAAGCTATGAAGGGAGGAGATGAAATCAGGATTGGATAAAAGTAAAGTATAGTGAGGAAAGGTAGAAGAAACACTTTGAGTCAGTGACTAAGACTTAAATACACCTATGGGAGAAAACTTGGGATGCATTGTCAGAAAGACACACTGCTGAAGTTAATGTCTTAATGTAGCTGTGTGTCAATTAAGGCATGGATCTGATGGATCCATGCCTGGATCAAGTTATCTGAGAAACAGCATATAGCTAGGAAATAGTATCCTTTTTTGTAGACAGCATCAAGCAATTGCCTTTCATTTTTAAATTCATTTTTTTCATCTCTTCCCTGCTCCATCTTTTCCTAGGGTTCCACATCTTTGGGAATATTTTTTGTAACTCTGAAGTAAAGACAAGTGATCTCAAAAATATAAAATATTTGTTCTAAAATTGAAAACAACAGTGATTATGTAAGCTTTTATCTCAGGGTCATATGTTACTATAGACACAGATAGTGTACTCTGTTCATCAAAGAAGTTGATTCCCAAGCCATTTATTTCACCATGTTCAGGAGTTCAGATGTCATTAGGCAAAGCATATTGTGAATGTAGTTTCCATCCAAGTTCCTTACTCCCAAAGGCATGTTTTATGCATCTGTTTTTATTTAGTACTTTTTAATTAATACATTGAAATTTCTTTACTATTTTTTCCTAAATGCAAGTGAAATTGCTTTCTGAATTGGAATTCATTATGGTGGAATACCGCATTAAATAAAATATATAAGCATGCATTTAAATCACATGCTGCTCTCTTTTTTTTGCTCTAATTGTGAATTGTGATTTTGTGTTCATAATTTAGGCATAAAAATAATTTTCAAGGAACTTTACATAATTCAGAGCTCTGTCTCTGTGTTTTGCATATGCACAGGCCCATTCATATATGCATGTTTGCAAGAGAGGAACAGAGAGAGAGAGGGAACTGTGAAAAAAGCAAAAGCAATGAATGTAAGTTTATTTTACCTGCATTACCTAATTTATTTTTACCTCCAAATTTATTATGCATAGTATTGTTCTCTTTAAGTTACAGACAGAAAACCTGAATAATAAGAAGGTTTTGTAACATACCAAAGGTTAAGTAGTTAGAAATTAACAGTCAGGATTTGAACCCAGGCAGTGTCAGTCCAGGGTTCCTCAGCGTTTCTCTCTTACCCACTTCTTTTCTGTTATTGGAATCCACAGATTTTCTTTAATTATTTTTTTGTACAAGTGTAGACACTTTCAATGCTATTTTTTGTTAGTGGTTAACTTACATTTTTACATGAGCATTTTGCTTAAGAAAGCTCAAATTGATTCAGCTCTCAATTCTCATTTTCAATATGAGGGATTTAGAACACTTTATTCTGATGATCTTTTTCCTGAAATCTCCCATGTTGTAATTGTCCAGTATTTTTGTATCATTTTATTTTTAAATATCCCATATTAGTCACTGTTATTTTTATAGCCAATATTTATATAGATTTAGGCACATATTTGGCCCGGGGGGGTTGGCTCACGCCTGTAATCTCAGCACTTTGGGAGGCCGAGACGGACGGATCACGAGGTCAGGAGATCGAGACCATCCTGGCTAACATGGTGAAACCCCATCTCTACTAAAAAAAAAAAATACAGAAAAATTAGCTGGGCGTAGTGGCGGGTGCCGGTAGTCCCAGCTACTCGGTAGGCTGAGACAGGAGAATGCCTTGAACACGGGGAGCGGAGATTGCAGTGAGCCAAAATCACGCCACTGCACTCCAGCCTGGGGGACAGAGCGAGACTCCGTCTCAAAAAAAAAAAAAAAGATTTAGGCACATATTTTAATAACTTACTTTGTCTCAATTGCTTCTTTTTATAAAATGTGTCTATAGAAATGTAATTCAAATACCATATAATTAATCAATTTAATGTGTGCAATAGTGGCTTTTGGTATTTCACAAGTTAGTGCTATTATCACCACAAGCTTTTCCAAAAATGTTTCTGACATATTGAAAAAGTACATAATAAATATTGATTTACACGTTTTGCTCTATGACTTCTGACTCCCCAAACCTAAGCAACCACTAATCTACTTTTTGTCTCTGTACATTTGCCCACTGGACACTTCTAATAAACAGAATAATACAGTATGTAGTTCATGAAAGCTTCTTTTACTTAGCAGAATAGTTTCAATGTGCATCCATGTTATAGTATGTATCATTATTTCATTCATTTTTATTGCTAAACAATATTCCATCAGATAGATATATTAATTTTTATTTACCCAGTTAGCAGTTGAGGGCCATTTAAGGTGTTGCCACTTTGGGATACTGTGAATAATGCTACTATGAGTATTTACATACAAATTTTTGAGTAAATATATGCTTTTCTTTCTCCTTGGTAGATAATTAGGAGTGGAAATTTTGGTCCTATGGTAACTCTGTGTTAAACTTTTGAGGAACAGCTAAAACAAATTTCCAAAGTGTTTGCACCATTTGCATTCTTGCCTACAAAACATAAGCGTTCCTTCACCAACATTTGATCTCATCTTATTTTTAAAATACATCCTAGTGAGTAAGAAGTAGCTTCTATTGTGGTTTCTATTTACATTTTCCTAATGACTAATAGTATTAAACATGTTTTTATGTGCTCATGGGCCATTTGTATGTCTTCTTTGGAGAAATATCTATTTAGACTTTTAACCATTTTCTAACTGAGTTAGTTGTTTTTTTAAATTATTGTATTGTCAGAGTTTTTTCAGACTTATCAAGGTACAATTGACAAATACAATTTGCATATATTCAAAGTGTATGATGAAATGTTTTGTAAAATGATTCCACAAATCAGTCTAATTCCCATATCCATCACCTAACATAGTTACCTTTTTTTTTGGTGGTGCCAATATAGAAGATCTATTCTCTTAGTAAATTTCAAGTATACAACACATTATTAACTATAGTCACCATGCTGTACATTAGGTCTTCAGAATTTATTTATGTTATATCTAGAAGTTTGTAGAGTTTGAGCAACATTTTCCTATTTCCCTCACCTTCCCAACTCTGCTAAGTTTCTTTTTATTGTTTTGTTATGAGTTTGACTTTTTTTGATTCCATATGTAAGTAAGATAATTCAGTATTCATCTTGTTGTGTCTGGCTTATTCCCTTAGCATAATACCATCCAAGCTCATACATGTTGTTACAAATTGCAAGATTTCCCTTTATAGAGGACAGAAAACATTCCCCTTTATATACATGACATATATATGTCATATATATATTTTTTATGCATTCATCCATTGACACAAATGTGGGTTGTTTTATATCTTGGCTATTCTGAATAATGCTGCCATGACTATTTGAAGTGAAGCTTCATACTGATTTTTTTAGATGTACTGATTTTAGTCCCTTGTAGCTATATACTGAGAAGTGGGATTGTTGAATTATAAAAGTTTTATTTTTAATTTTTTAAGAAGCTGCCATGTTGTTTTCAATAATGGTTAGTATTAGTTAGTTTTCATCTTCCTGATAAAGACATACCCAAAACCGGGGACAAAAAGAGGTTTAATTGAACTTACAGTTCCACATGGCTAAGGTGGCCTCAGAATCATGGCCGGAGGCAAAAGGCACTTCTTACATGGCAGCAGCAAGAGAAAAATGAGGAAGAAGGAAAAACGGAAACCACTGATCATCCCATCAGATCTCGTGAGTCTTATTTACTATCATGAGAATAGCATGGAAAAGACCAGCCCTCATGATTCAATTACCTCCCACTGGATCCCTCCCACAACATGTGGGAATTCTGGAAGACACAATTCAAGTTGAGATTTGGGTGGAGACACAGCCAAACTATATCATTTCACCCCTGGACCCTCTAAATCTCATGTCCTCACATTTCAAAACCAATCATGCCTTCCCAACAGTTCCTGAAAAATCTTAACTCATTTCAGCATTAACCCAAAAGTCCATAGTCCAAAGTCTCATCTGAGACAAGGTAAGTGCTTTCTGCCTATGAGCCTGTAAAATTAAAAGCAAGCTAGTTACTTCCTAGATACAATGGGAGTACGGGTATTGGGTAAATATGGCTGTTATAAATGGGAGAAATTGGCCAAAACAAAGGGGTTATAGGCCCCATGCAAGTCCAAAATCCAGTGGGGCAGTCAAATTTCAAAGCTCAAAAAATGATCTCCTTTGACTCCAGGTCTCAAATCCAGGTCACATGGATGCAAAAGGTTGGTTCCCATGGTCTTGGGCAGTTCAGCCCCTGTGGCTTTGCAGGGTACAGCCTCCCTCCTGGCTACTTTCATAGGCTGGCATTGACTTTCTGCGGCTTTTCCAGATGCACAGTGCAAGCTGTAAATGAATCTACCATTCTGGGGTCTGAAAGATGGTGGTCCTCTTCTCATAGCTTCACTAGATGGTGCCCTAGTAGGAACTCTGTGTGGGGGCTCCCAACCCACAATTCCCTTCTGCCCTGCCCTAGCAGCAGTTCTTCATGAGGGCACCATTCCTGCAGCAAATATTTGCCTGGGCACCCAGACATTTCCTTACATCTCCTGAAATCTAGGTGGAAGTTTCAAAGCCTCAATTCTTGACTTCTGTGTACCCGCAGGCTCAACACCATGTGGAATCTGCCAAAGCTTTGGGTTTCCACCCTCTGAAGCCACAGCTTGAGCTCTACATTGGCCCCTTTCAGCCACAGCTGGAGCAGATGGGACACACGGCACCCAGTCCCTAGGCTGCATAGAACAAAGACTCTGGGCCTGGCCTACAAAACCATTTTTCCTCCTGGGCCTCCAGACCTGTGATGGGAGGGGCTGCCGTGAAGGTCTCTGACATGGCCTGGAGACATTTTCCTCATGGCCTTGGGGATTAACATTAGGCTCCTTACTACTTATGCAAATTTCAGCAGCCAGTTTGAATTTCTCCTTGAAAAAATGGGTTTTTCTTTTCTACTGCATCTTCAGGCTGCAAATTTTCTGAACTTTTAGGCTTGATGCAGTGATGGTTCCAGTGTCTGTGGTGAAATTACTCATAGAACAGCTGTAGAGCTACATTCTGGAATGGGCATGGTTGAAGTTAGTGGAAGCCATCCTGAGGTGAAACGACAATGGCTCCTTCTTGGAGCTAGAGGAGCAGAGTATCTCCCTCTCTTGAGGACTGAAGGTAGTGATGGCTTGGTCATTTTAGTTACAAAAGCTGCCAGTGTGAGGATCACAGTGCCATCACAGCATTACAAATACTGATATGCTTTGCTGTTCTTTGTTTTTAAACATCTCCCAACATTGTTGGAGTTTCTTTTACAGTGTAGATACAGTTTCCTTATCAGATATATAATTTGCATATTCTCTCCCATTCTGTGGGTTATCTTTTTACTTTATTGATTGTGTCCTTTGAAAAACAAAAAACAAAACTGTTAATTTTGACAATGTCCAATTTGTCTATTTAGTTTTTTGTTGCTTAGGTTTTTGGTGTCATATCTAAAAACATTACCTGATCTAAAGTCAGAAAGTATCTTCTTAGATTGTAATACTTTTAGTTATTAGTTATTACATTTATGTCTTTGATCTATTGTGAATTAAATTTTGTATATGGTGTTAGCATAGGGTCCAACTTCATTATGTGCATGTAGGTAAGTATTCAGTTGTCCTAATATTTTTTGTTGTAAAGACAATTATTTCCCCCATTGAATTTTCTTGACACTCTTATTGAAAAAATCAATTTATTGTAAATTGTACAGGTTTATATTGGACAGTCAATTATATTGCACTGACCTCTACGTGTGTCCTTGAATCAGCACCACACTGTCTTGATTACTGTTGCTTTGTATTAAGTTTTGAAATTGTAGAGTGTTAGTCCTCCAACTTTGATCTTCTTCAAGATTGTTTTGGGTAGTGTGAGTCTAATACATTTTATATCAATTTTAGGATCAAGTTTTCAACTTTGGGAAAGAATGAACTGAGATTTTTCATAGGGATTGCATTGAATCTTTAGATCAATTTGGGAAGTATTGTCATTTTTATGTTAAACCTTATATTCATGAACTTCGGATATCTTTCCATTTTTGTGGTCTTTTTAAATTTATTTCAACAATTCTTTAAAAACGTTCATGGCAAAAGTTTGCACATCTTGATAAACTTATTTCTAAGTATTATGTTCTCTTTGATTTCTTTTTCAGATTATACATATTAATTTGTGAATACACAACTGAATTTTATGTGTTAATTTGTGTCCTGCAACTTTGCTTAATTCATTATTAAATCTATGTTTTTTGTAGACTCTGTACGGTTTCCAGCAAATAAGTTCATGTCATCTTAAAACGAAGAGAATTTTATTCCTTCCTTTACAATATAGAGATATTGTCTATTTATTTTCTTGTCTAATTCCCCTGGTCAGAACATCCAGTACAATGTGAAATATATGTGGGTAGAGCACGTATCATTTTCTAGTTTCAGATATTAGGGTATCAGTTATCAACAATTCTACTAGCTGTGAGATTTTCTTGTATGTACATTGTGAGCTTAAGAAAGTTCCCTTATATTCTGAGTTTGTTGATTTTTAATATAAAATGTTATGGCATATTGTCAAATGCCTTTCTTTTGTCTCTGACATAAAAATGTAGATATTATCTTCAATTCTATTAATACTGATAATTATAATACTTAATTTTTGTGTTAAACCTTATGTTTCTTGGATTAATACTACTTAATCATGATGTTTAATCTTTTTAACATGATGCTTGATTCAGTTTGCTAATATTTTTTCTGCAATATTAACATCTATATTCAGAAGGTAGATTCTCTAGTTATCTTGTGATATCTTTATCTGGATTTGATGTCACAGATATTCATCTCATAAAATAAGTTAGGAGGTGTTTTCTATTTCTTTGAAGAGATTGTGAAGAGTTGGTGTTAGTTATTCCTTCAACATTTGATATAATTCATCAGTAAAGGCATCTGAGCTTTCATGTGTAGTTTTTTAAATTACTAATTAAATCTCTTTACTTAATGTAGATCTTCTTGATATTCTGCTTCTCCTTGGCAAGTTTCATTATTTTTGTTTCTTTGTAGAGATTTGTCAATTTCCTGAAAGTTATCTAATTTGTTGTCATACAGCTGTTTATGGTACTCAGTTAAAATCCTTTTGGTCTGTACAGTTGGTAGTGATGCTAACTATTTTGCTCCAGATTTTAGTAATATTGCTTTTCTCTTTTATTTCCTGGACAGACTATTAAAGTTTTGTCACTTTATTAATTATTACTGAGAATAAAATTTTGGTTTTATTAATTTCCTCTATTGTGTTTCTAGTAGATATTTCATTTATTCCTACTATAGTCTTTATTGTTTTCTTCCTTCTGTTGGCTTTGGGTTTAGTATTCATTTATTTTTCACTGTGTTTGAATGAAAATTATAGTTTATTATTTGATATTTGTCTTTATTGTTAGAGCAAGCTATAACTTTTTAAATGAATATGTATGTTTTCCCTTAAGCACTACTTTAGCTGTATCCCATATATTTTTAAAATTTTATTTACTTTTACTTATTTTTATTGCTACATATTAGATATACATATTTCAGGGGTACATGTGATAATTTTATGTATTCAATAAACAAATTAAAGTAATCAGGGTAATTTGGATATCCATCAAATCAAATATTTATTTTTTTCTTTAAGTTAATAACATTTGAATCATTCTGTTTTAGCTATTTTGAAATCTACAATCAATTAATTTTCACAATAGTCACTCTACCAATCTACCAAACATCAGGCCGTATTTCTTCTAGCTAACAACATATTTGTACCCAGTAATCGACTTCTCTTCTCCTCTCCTCCTCCGCTTACACTTCCTGGTCTCTTATAACAAGTAGTCTCCTCTGGGTCATCATGAGATCGACCTTTTAATGTTCCACATATGAAGGCCACTGAATATGAGATTTTTGTATTTCTGTACTTTGTTTCACTTAATGACCTCCAGTTTCATCCATATTGTTTCAAATAACAGAATTGTATTTCCTTTTATAGCTGAATAATATTTCATTTTGTATATATGCCATATTTTCTTTATTAATTTATCCTCTGATAAACATGTAGGTTGATTCCATATTTTGGCTATTGTCAGCAGTGCTGCAGTAAATGTAGAAATGCAGATATATTTTATATGTATTGATTCTCTTTCATTGGATCTATACTCAGGAGTAGAATTGCTGAAACATATGGTAGGTCTATTTTTACTTTTTTGAGACACCTGTATACTTTTTTTCCATAGTGGCTGTAATAATTTACATTCCCACAAATAGTGTAGGAGAGTTCTCCTTTACCCACATCCTTGCCAGCAGCGGTTATTCCCTGTCTTTTTGATAAAATCCATTCGAACTGGGGTGAGATGATATCTCACTGATGTTTGATTTGCATTTTTCTGATGATTAGTGATGTTGAACGGTTTTTCATATAACTGTCAGCCATATTTATATATTCTTTTGAGAAACTTTTATTCAGATATTTTGCCCATTTTTAAATTGGATTATTTGTTTTTTTTCTGTTGAGTTATTTGAGCTCCTTATATATTCTGATTATTAATCCTTTGACAGTTGGGTAGTTTGCAAATATTTTTCCTCATTCTTTGTTTTCTCTTCACTTTCTTGATTGTTTTCTTTGCCCTGCAGAAGCTTTTTAGATTAATATAACCCCACTTATCTATTTTTGCTTTGACTACCTCTGCGTTTGAGATCTTACACAAAAAAAATCTTTGCACAGACCAATGTTCTGGAAGATTTTCCCCAAATTTTCTTCTAGTAGTATCATAGTTTCAGTTCTTAGATGTAAGTCTTTAATCCATTTTGATTTTTTTTGTATATAGTGATAAATACTGATCTAGTTTCATTCGTCTGCATATTTTTATCCACTTTTCCAGGAAGCATCTATCAAAGAGACTATTCTTTCCCCTTGTATGTTCCTGGTGCCTTTGCCAAAAATGAATTGGCTATAAATGCGTAGATTTATACCTGTGTTCTTTATTCTGTTCAATTGGTCTACATGTCTGTTTTAATGCCAGTACCATGCTGACTTTAAAGCCTGTCCACTACAATTTTAAACAAGACAATGATGCCCACTTTTACCACTTTTATTCATCACAATACTGGAAGTCCTAGCCAGAGCAATTAGTCATGAGGAAGAAATAAAAGGCATCCAAATTGGAAAGGAAGAAGTCAAAATAGCCTTGTATGCAGGGGACATAATCTTACATGTAGAAAATCCTAAAGACTTCACCAAAAAGCTGTTAAAACTGATAAACAAATTCAACAAAGTTTCACAATACAAAATGAACATACCAAAAGCAGTAGAATTTATATATGCTAACAGCAAGCAATCTGAAAAATAAATTAAAAAGTAATCACACTTGTAGTAGCTACAAAGAATATATAACACCTGGTCAATTTAACTAAAGGTGTGAAAGATCTATGCAAGGAAATCAATATAACATTGATGAAATAAATCGAAAAGGATTTTCACAAAAATAGAAGAATATCCCACACTCATGGATTAGAAAAATTAATTTTATTAAAATGATAATTCTACCCAAAGCAATTACAGATTTAATGAAATCCCTATCAAAATACCAATGACATCCTTCAAAGAAATAGAAAAAAATTCTAAAGTGTATATGGAACCACAAAAGATCCGAATAGCCAAAGCAAGCCTGAGCAAAAATCTGGAAGGCATCATACTACCTGACATCAAAATATAATACAAAGCTATAGTAATTGTATGTTTCTGTATGTTGTGTCTACCTTTTAAATCATTTCAATGTATTTCAAAATTTTTCTCATTTTCTTGACCCATTGGTTATTCAGAAGTATGTTGCTTATTTTCAACATGTTTGTGATTTTCCAAGGTGTTTGAGGCTGCGGGAAGACATGATTGCACCACTATACTGAAGCCCTGGTGACAGAGTGAGACCTTGTCACACACACACACACACACACATACACACACACACACAAAGCACCACAATTTACCACAATTACCAGTGAATTTGAAATAGTCTGGAGCTCCTTCAATTTGGCAGTTTGGTAAAGAACACCTACAACAAAACAAACAACAAAAAAGCAAACAAAAATAAGCCTAGAATATCAAAAGATTTTTTTAAAGGAAAGAAAAAGTTGATGGGCTCATATTACTTGATTTTAAGATTTACTGTAAAGCTATTCAAAGCAGCATGGTAGCAGATAAAGATAGACACAAAGATAAATTGAACAGAATGTTGTCCAAAATAGATCTACATAAATATGTTTATCTGAATTTAACAAGAGTACAAAACAAATTTAATAAAGAAGGATACATTTCTTGACAAACAATTTTGGAGCAACTGGACATTTATATGAAAAATATAAAAATTGATTAAAGCCTCACTCCATATCAAAAATGAACTTAGAATAGGTCATAGATCTGCATATAAGATGTAAACCTACAAAACTGATACAAGAAAATATAGGAGCAAATATTTGTGACTTGAGGTTAAGTAAAGAGTTCATAGGTAACAACAAAAATAGTAGCTAAGGAAAAAATGATAAATCTTAACACGACAAACATTAAAAATGTTTACTTTATAAATACAACTGTGAAGTGACTGAAAAGACAAACAATATACTGGGAGAAAATATTTATAAGCCACTTATCCAGCAAAGTTTTTAATACCTAGAAGAATAAAGAACTCTGAGAATAACAAGAAGCAAATAAACAAGACATAATCATAATATAGGTAAAAAGCTGAAACAAACACTCACATATTTCTACATCAAAGAAGAAAAAATGTGATTTTATTATATACATATATATTTAAATAAATAAATTATACCATGAGGTAGTTATTTTCATTATCCTATTTGCAGAATGAGCAACTGAGGCTCAGAGAAGAAAGTCATTTCTTTGGAGACAGCAGGATTCAAGTTCAACTCTCTCTGACTATACCAAGCTAGACTGGCTCATTCTTTATCAATCCCATCACCATGCCCTTGCCGTGAGGAGCTCATTAAAGCTGAAGTTGACTTGGGTTAGATGTAAGTTGAAGTGAGGCTGGGTCTGGCAAGTAAGAATAGACTTCAGGCCTCTCTGAGAGAATTCAGTTTTTGCCTGCCCCTTGATGGAAATCAGAGAAGCCTCTATAAATTGGATTTTGGTGATAGGTGTCGGGGAGACCTAAAATCAGAGCTGAGAAGAGGGTGTGTTGAAGAAGTGGAATTCTGAGGTGGGTGAGAGGTAATAGAGAGAGAAAGGGGGTAGGCCATTATACAGGAGAAATGAGTGGCAGAGGTTTTAGGAGATTAGATTGGGTGTCTGTGTTACAATGCACAAAAGGTAGAAAACTGGGGTGGTCACAGAGCCCATAAATTGAGGAGCAGAGCTCTGTGTTCTAGTCTGTAATGATGATGGAGCTGGAAAAGGTTAAAATGAACATTTAATCTTCAATAATTTACTTCTAAAGTTCTGGCTCCAGTACCTAGCTCTCTAGATGGGAGAGCACTTCAGGGTTAGATCAGGTTTTGGAGTATGGTGGAGTAGGGAGTGTAATGGATTATACAATGGCTACCATTGAAACAAGTACGTAAGAGGCAGGGGAATGCTTTGCATAGAGGAGAATCAGCCATTCTATAAAGTAATGACAAGGAGAGGTAAAGGGCTTACAGCTGTAAGTCAGAAATAGTGAAAATTTGAAATAAATTATAAAGAAGCAAAACAAGCACAAAAAAATGAAGCCCACTAATTACTGAAATTTAAGATGTTATCCCATCCTATTGAATTTGTACTTTTAGCTGTAGTACAATTAGCATACTTATATTACACAAAAATAACAGTATATATGAAATATATTTATGTAAATTATTGTTAATATTGAAACAAGGTATATACTTTATTGATATACGGTAATATCTGAAAATTTAGAAAAACTTTAGTACCCCTCAGCTTTGCTTTTTAGCAAATGTTCTTATCCATTCCTATATATCCCCGACTATATTTGAAATAGTTTCATGATTTGCGTTTCCTTGCCTTATCTTTCTTGCTAAAAAGTAACTTACTTAGGTGACAGAGCATCACTCATCTCTGATCCTCTTCAATGCCTCACATACACTGTAGACTCAATAAACATTTGTGAAATGTATGAATGATTGATGTATTGAATATGTGACTTTTCATTTCCTTTCATGTCAGAAGTGCTCACAAACACATGGCAAGTATTTGGTACATTGTTAAACATTTACTATTTTATTCTATACCATGTTAAGTCACATGGTCTGTAATTTCCAAAGACACTTGCAGAAGCTGCTGCTTTGGGATGATATGGGGGGGATGGTATCTTATAGGAGCCAAGAAAGATTTTAGTTCAGCTGAGCTCCCATTGTACTGTTTGATATGGACGTTCAAACTATTTTACACTTGTATGTTATGACTCAACTACTATTATATTTTATTTGAAAATTATCTTCTACACTTTTATGTGATTTTACATAAATTTGATGTTTTTTTTACATACACACTCACCTTTGGTGAGGGAGGGGTTTGAACCCTCCTTGATTCTAATTGTACACCTTTTTAATCTCCCACCTTGATCAGTGATTGCCCTCATCTATATCATGCTTATCTAGGCCCAAATTTTTTATGACTGCATTCCTGTTAGAGTAGCATTCTCAATGATCATTTTAACTTCATTTTATTTACCTCCAACCCATCATAAACTGCATGCCAGTAGCAATTATTATTATGAAGCATTTGTAACATATCCTGCTCAATATCAGGTGTAATATTTGTTTCTATATAACTGGTTCCAAGAGCCTCATAAATCTAATTTAACCTACAAGACAAGTATCTTAAGAAATCTCCCTAACATTCCTTTATCACCCCTAAAATAATTACTTTCCATTTACAACTTAAGATTGGCACCTGTTGGTGTTTCTTGGGCTTATTCAAACTTCCTTTCTTAAAAAGGATAGTGATAGATAGAGGAGGGAAATAAAGTTGTGAAGACCTTGTAGAGTTGTGGTAGGCATAGTACCACCTGGATCTACCTCAAAGAAATACCTTACTGTACATATACAAGGAGTGAAGTTAGCTATCAACTTCAGGTTTCATTTTTGCTTTACAAACAAGTTATGTCCTTCCCAGACAGTCTCAGCCAAAGACTGAGCATGACAGAGGTACCTAATTTGGAATTCTCTAACAAATTATTTTACTCTGAGTTTGCCCATTGGATTGATGAAGATGTCAGACCTGTATGATGATATGATGATCTTCCTGTCCAAACATATTCCTTCCCCTTTTTATTTCACAGGAGTCAGATTAGACTAAAGACTCCCTCCCCATTTTGTCTTTCATAAGCAGTGTACCAAATAAAACTCTCACATTACTAGCTTCATGTCAACATCTACTTTCCTGAGGTTCCAATTGACATAGGATGCAAATAAAGATTTGATTATAAGAACAAACTGTGCTAAAGAAAGGAGAGTAAGAAGAGATTTTAGTCAAACCCAAGAGCCACACTGTTAAGTAATTGTCTTTTGAGGAAAATAATTTTGACTTGGGGAAAATAAGAGAGAGTATCTAAGATTCCAACAAGAAAATGAGCCTCTGTTTATAGGGCCTGCAGTTGCTGATCAAGTTTAATGTGAATGTGGGAATTATTAGCATTATCTGTGACTGTAACAATTATTACTAAGAGAATGACTTATAAAAAATAAAGAATAATAAAATGTCATGAATTTGATTATTTGTTTTTCTTTATCATTGATAGAAGGAGTACTGGCAGTGAAAAGTTTCCAAGGCAAGTAGAAATCAATACCTGGCTTAGGAAACTTTAAGAAGCCAGGAATATAATTACAGTAGAGAAAATATCAAAGTGTGAGTCAGAAATCTTATGTTACTACCTCCATATGACATCTTGAACAAGTTAACCTCTCTCAGGTTTGTTTCCTCATCTGCAAAATTATGCAACAATCTTGTATATATTAGGATAATATAAAGTCATATATATACACGTATGTATAAATATTTATATCATGGGATTGCTGTGATGATCATATGAAATGAATATGAACATATTCTGTAAACCCTAAAGTAGTGATAGTATTATCTGACAACTGCATGGGTTGTCCTTTTTGGTCATCATTGTGTTCTATAAATCTGCTTTGTTCTTATAAATCGCTTAGCTATTTTCTTCTTCTCTGAGTAGTAGTTTTAATTTACAGACTTTGTAAATTAAAACAAAGTATGGCAGTGAAGACAATCATTGCTTTGGAAACATTAAGCAGTTGAAAATATCATAGTATTAAATAACTATTGGTGATATGTTAGTACACAGGCAGCTATTTACATATGTGCTTTGAAGGACACTAAAGAGCTTGCCCTTATGCTAACTATTTTCTACATTAGTTTGTTTCCTTTAAAATATTTTTATGTTTTAAACATTTAACCTCCATAAAAGCCTTGTTCAATTACAATTATTTTACTTCCACCTGTCACAGTACTATATAGTACTCAAATAAGTTTATCAAATTAGTAGAGATTGGTTCAGAAAGAAAGAGGACATAGAGCAGATGAAATTTGATTGAAGTGGGGCAATTGAAACAGTGAAATGTCCAGAATGCAAATTGTTTAGTGAGAAGAGAAAGCTTAGGTGACTGGGCCATGGGAAGTCCTGAACAGCTGGAAAATAGAATGAAGGCTTTAAGTTCTTGGTGGGTGGGTTGATAGGGATTGAGAAAAGGCACAAAGGGGCACTGAAGGACGGGTTGTAAGCCACCGAAAACAAAAGTTTTCTATTCACAAATTTGCTCATGCTAAACCTGCTTCAGAAATCCTTGAAAGTAGACATTTGCATCAATAAAGCTTTTATTAGGCAGAAAGGTTATATTTTGTGTTCAATCTATTGAGAAAATCCAGCAAGTTCTCTACCTACAAAGGTTCTTTAAATGTAGTGCTTTCCTGCTACCGTAATCTGATCATGCAACATTAGCTGGAAATTGCAAGGAGAAAAAGCTAATAAAACTACTCTTGTAAACCCAACAATACAGGATCCACTTAAGGTAGTGCTGATCTCATAACCTACAAATTTCCATTTCACTAGTCTACTAGGTAAAACAGTGCTAAAGTGCCCTTTCAGTGACACTGGAGCTGTGAGAGGTTTTCTGACTTGATTGCAGTCCTTTCTGTTAATTATTAGTAAAGAGATCTCCTCACAAAGGCTGCTGTCTAGTTTTCCAGGCTGAGGGGCTTAGGCAGTTTGGATCCAAGAGCTCTTACTCATTGGAACCACTTAATTCAAACATTTTCTTTCAAGGTTTCGAATTCTATTGTTGGTAGGTAGGAAGAGTCTCTGAGATCAATGTGGAAAAACTATCATTAACACAAGGGCATAAGATTTTTTGAGTTAAAGCTTGGGGATTCCATCTGGCTCACATCTGAGTGGGTATGTTTTTTAATCCTCCCTGTATCTTTCAAAATCAGCTTAGTAATATATCTTCATTTATAATGATGTATTTCATCTATCACACATTTGTCCTTATTTGACTATACTGTTACAATGATAACTAAAGTAAAACATTATACAATTTATTTTTATTCAATATAATTTAGAAGATGTAATGCACCTAGTTGAAAAATATAAACTTTTCCAACACATTTTCAGTTTGAGTGTGAGAAACTATCTTCCGTAGGTCCATTTTCCCCCTAGATATTATTCTTTTAATCCATATAAATTGCCACTAAGTGAACAGCAATATCTGGAGCTGTGGCTCACGCTCTGAATAGCTATGCTGTCCATAGTTTTATTTTATTTGAAAACCTTAACAATTATATCATTGCCAGTGGACAGTTTTCAAAACAAAACACACATATTTAGAGAGCTAAATATGTATTTACTGTTGGCAAATAATTTAATTTTACAAGGTGATTTTAGCTTCTTTATATGATGAGATGGAGGTTTCTATAAAGCAATAGATGTCTTCTAGATCTTATAATTTTCGTTTTTACCCTAGGAATTTTGTTACTTCCTTTTTCAGCAAGGTAAACTTGTTCCTATTGGTCTGCTATTTTGCTTTATAGAGTCATTCTTTTTTCTTAGGTAAAAGTGACTTTTGAGAAAGGGACTCATGCCTCACTCTAAAGGGCTTCCTGTTGTCAGGAGATCTGCCAAAAGTGAAAAAAAAAAAAAATTATCTTTCAATTGTTTTAGGCCCCATTGGAACTGATAGAAAATTGATTTGCTTGATGCCAGATTTAGATTTTTAGAAAACAATTTTTAAGATTAAAAAAAACTGGGGTATATCCAATGTATCTTCTCTGAGAAACGGTAAGGTATAATTAATTTTGGGGCTTTGTACACACTCTTAAGTGAAATGTCTCTTCATGACTCTTGCTCATTTTGTAATTGGATTGTTTGTTTTAAACTGTTGAGTTTTGAGACTTTTTATACACTCTAGATAATCATTCTTTGTTGGATATGTGATTTCCAAATATTTTCTCCCAGTCTGTATCTTGTCTTTTCATCCTCTTCATAGAGTCTTTTACAGAACAATGTTTTTAATTTTTGTGGGATAAAATATAACTTTCATTAATAGGGTTTTACTTTTGGTATTAAGTCAAAAAACTATTCTCCTAAGCATTAAAAATTTAAATTTATCTCATTTATTTCAAAATAAGTTTTATAGTATTATATTCATGTGTGATCTAGTTTAAGTTATTTTTTGTAAAAAATGTGAGACTTAGGTCAAAGTTTATGACTTTTTGTTTGTTTGTTTGTTTTGCCTATGGATGGCCAATTGCCCTAGTCCCATTTGTTGAAAAGTCTACACTTTCTCCATTGTGTTGATTCTAAACCTTTGCCACAAATCAGTTGAGTATTTCTATGAATCTGTTTCTGGCTTTTTTACTCGGTTCCATTGATATCTCTGTTTCATTGATTTTTGTGACTATTTCTCCACCAATATCACACTATCTTAATTAGCCTAACTATATAGAAGGATTTACTATCTAGTGGAGTGATTCTTCTGACTATATTGTTCTTTTTAAAAATGTTTTTGACTATCCTAATGCCTAAAACTTTTCTTATAAATGTTAGAAGTTTGTCTATGTCTACAAAAGTCTTTGTTAGTTTTGATGAGAATTTAATTAAACCTATGAATCAATTTGAGAAGAATTGGCATGATATATTATATGAATAGTACTCCATTGTGTATAAGTACCACACTTTCTTTACCCATTCATTTGTTGATGACACTTAGGTTGCTCCCAAATCTTGACTGTTGTGAACAGTAGTGCAACAAACATGAGAGTGCAGACATCTCTTTGATATACTGATTTCCTTTCTTTTGGGTATATATCCAGCAGTGAGATTACTGGATCATATATTAATTCAATTTTTAGTTTTTTGAGGAACCTCCCAACTATTCTCCATAGAGTTTGTACTAATTTACATTCACATCAACAGTGTACGAGGGTTCCCTTTTCTCCACATCCTTGCCAGCATTTCTTATTGCCTGTCTTTTGGATACAAGCCATTTTAAACGAGGTGATATCTCATTGTAGTTTTGATTTGCATTTATCTGATGATCAGTGACTTTAATCACCTTTTCATGTGCCTGTTTGTCTTCTTTTGAGAAATACCTATTCAGATATTTTACTCATTTTGAATTGGATTATTAGATTTATTGCCATAGATTTGTTTGAGCTGCTTATACATTCTGGTTATTAGTCCCTTGTCAGATAGGTAGTTTGCAATTTTTTTTCCAGTTCTGTTGGTTGTTTCTTCACTTTGCTGATTGCTTCATTTGCTGTGCAGAAGCTTTCTAACTTCATGTGATTCCAGTTATCTTTTTTTTTGGTTGCCTATGCTTGTGGAGTATTACTCAATAAATTTTTGCCAAGACCAATTCTTAGAGAATTTGTCCCATGTTTTCTTTTAATAGTTTCATAGTTTGACGTCTTATATTTAAGTCTTTAATTCATTTCGACTTGATTTTTCTGTATGGCAAAGGATAATCGTCTAATTTCATAAACCTGCATGTGGATATTCAATATTCCCAGAACCACTGATTGAAAAAATTGTCTTTTCCCCAGTGTGTGTTCTTGGCACCTTTTTTGAAAATGAGTTCACTCTAGGTGTGTGGACTTATTTCTGGGCTGTCTATTTTGTTTAACTGGCCTATGCGTCTGTATTTTATGCCAGTACTGTGCTGCTTTTTTTTTTCCTATAGCTTTGTAGTATAATTTGAAGTCAGGTAATGTAATTTTGCCCATTTTGTTCTCTTTGTTCAAGATACCCTTGGCTACTCTGGGTCTGTTGTGGTGCCATATAAATTTTAGGATTGCTTTTCTATTTCTGTGAGGAAAATCATTTGTATTTTGATGGGGATTGCATTGAATCTTTAGATCGCTTCCAATCCATGAACATGGAATATCTTTACAGTTTTTTTATGAGCTATCATCAAATTATTCTTATCAATGATTTATAGTTTTTATTGTAGAGATATTTCACTCCCTTGGTTAAGATATTTCCTAGGTATTTTATTTTATTTGTGACTATTATAAATGGGATTACTTTTTTCTTTGTTTCTCAGATTGTTTGCTGTTGACATATAGAAGCACTGATGATTTTTGTATGTTGCTGTTTTATGCTGTAATTTCACTGAATTTGTATATCAGTTTTAATAGTTTTTTGTGGAGTCTTTAGCTTTTTTTTTTCAAATATAAGATTATATCATATGAAAACAAGAATAATTTCACTTATTTGTTCCAATTTGGATGCCCTATGTTACTTTCTTTTCATTAATTGTTCTAGCTAGGACTTCCAGTACTATGTTGGATAACAGTAGTGAAAGTGGGAATTCTTGATGAGTTCCAGATATTACAGTAAAAGCTGTCAGTTTATTCCCATTTAGCATTATACTAGCTGTGGCTCTGTCATATATGGCTTTTATTATGTTGAGGTATAATCCTTTTATACCCAGATTTTTTAGAGTTTTTTCATGAAGTGATGTTAAATTTTATCAAATGCTTTTACAACATCATTGAAATGATCATATGGGTTTTTTCCTTAATTCTGTTCGTATTAAGTAGCGCATTGATTGATTTGCATATGCTGAACCATCCTTGCATCACAGGGATAAATCTCATTTGGTCATGATCAATAATCTTCTTAATGTGTTTTTTTGAATTTGATTTGCTGCTATTTTGTTGAGGATTTTTGCACCAATATTAATCAGTGATATGGGCCTGTAATTTTTTATGTGTTTTTTGTCTGATTTTGTTATCAAGATAATACTGGCTTAATGGAATAGGTTTGGAAGTGCTACCTCCTCTTCTATTTTTCAGAATAGTTTTAGTAGGATTGGTATTTTCTCTTCTTTAAAAATTTGGTGTAATTCAGTAGTGAAGCCATCAGGTCCCAGGCTTCATTTTTCTGGGACACTTTCAATTACATCTTAGATCTGTTTACTTATTCTTGATCTGTTAAAGTTTTGGATTTCTTCATGGTTCAATCTTGGTAGGTTGTATTTGTGTAAAAATTTATCCATTTCCTCTAGATTTTACAACTTACTGGCATATAGTTGCTCATAGTAGCCACTAATGATCCTTTGAATTTCTCCAGTATCAGTTGTAATATCTCCTTTCTTGTTTCTGATTTTATTTACTTGGATCTCCTCCCCTATTTTCTTCATTAGTCCAGCTAAGGGTTTGTCAATTTTGTTCTCAAAAAACCAACTTTATGTCTCATTGACCTTTTGTATTATTTTCTTCATTTCAAATACATTTATTTCTGCTCTGATCTTTGTTATTTATTTTATTCCACTAATGCTGGGTTACGTTTGCTCTTGCTTTTCTAGTTCTTCAAGATTTATCATTAAGTTGTTTATTTATAGCTTTTCTTCTTTCTTGATGTAGGTTCTTATAGCGATATATTTTTCTCTTAATATTGCCTTCACTGTATTCCATAAATTTCAGTATGTTGTGATTCTATTATCATTTGTTTCAAGAAATTTTTCAATTTCATTTTTACTTTCTTAATTGACCCACAGTTCACTCAGGAGCACATTGTTTAGTTTCCATGTGTTTGCGTAGTTTTCAAAATTTTTCCTGTTATTGATTTACAGTTTTATTCCACGATGATCAGAGAAGATGCTTGATATTATTTTAATCTTTTAATATCTTAAGACTTGTCTGTTACCAAACATACGGTCTATCATTGAGAATGATCCACGTGATGAGAAGAATGTATATTCTGCAGCTGTTGGATTACATGTTCTATAAATATTTATCAGATCCATTTGTTCTATAGTTCAGGTTAAGTCAAATGTTTCTTTGTTGAGCTTCTGTCTGAAAGATCTGTTCAATGCTGAAAGGGGGGTGTTGGCATCTCCAGCTATTATTGAACTGACATCTATCTCTCTCTTTAGCTGTAATAGTACTTGCTTTAAAATAAACTAGAAAATCTGGAAGAAATGGATAAATTCCTAGACACATACACCCTCTCAAGACTAAACCAGGAAGAAATGAAATCCCTGAATAGACCAATAACAAGTTCTGAAATAGAGGCCATAATTAATAGCCTACCAACCAAAAGAAGCCCAGGACCAGATGGATTCACAGCCTAATTCTACCAGGGGTACAAAGAGGATCTGGTACCATTCTTTCTGAAACTATTCCAAACAATTTAAAAGGAGGGACTCCTCCCTAACTCATTTTATGAATCCAGCATCATCCTGATACCAAAACCTGGCAGAGACACAACAAAAGAAAACTTCTGGTCAATATTTCTGATGATCATTGATGAGAAAATCCTCAGTAGAATACTGGCAAACCAAATCCTGCAGCACATCAAAAAGCTTATCCATCACAATCAAGTCAGCTTCATCCTGGGGTGCAAAGCTGGTTCAACATACGCAAATCAATAAACATAATATGTCACATAAACAGAAAAAAAATGACAAAAACCGCATGATTATCTCAAGGGATGCAGAAAAACCTTTTGATAAAACTCCTTCATGTTAAAATCTCTCAATAAACTAGGTATTGGTGGAACATATCTCTAAATAATAAGAGCTACTTATGACAAACCCATAGGCAATATCACACTGAATGTGCAAAAGCTGGAAGCATTCCCTTTGAAAACCAGCACAAGACAAGGATACCCTCTCTCACCACTCCTATTCAACATAGGATTGGAAGTTCTGGCCAGGGGAATCAGGCAAGAAAAAGAAATAAACTGTATTCAAATGGGAAGAGACAAAGTCAAATTGTCTGTGTTTGCAGATGACATGATTTTATATTTAGAAAACCCCATCATCACAGCCTAAAAACACCTTAAGCTGATAAACAACTTCAGCAAAATCTCAGAATACAAAATCAGTATGCAAAAATCACAAGCATTCATATACACCAATGATAGACAATAAGAGAGCCAAATCATGAATGAACTCCCATTCACAATTGCTACAAAGAGAATAAACTGCCTAGGAATAGAGTTTACAAGAGACATGAAGGACCTCTTCAAGGAAAACTACAAACCACTGCTCAAGGAAATAAGAGAGGACACAAACAAATGGAAAAACATTCCATGCTCAAAGATAATAAGAATCAATATTGTGAAAATGGCCCTACCACCCAAAGTAATTTATAGATTCAATGTTATTCCCATCAAACTACCATTGATATTCTTCACAGATTTAGAATAAACTACTTTAAATTTCATATGGAACAAAAAAGAGCTCATATAGCCAAAACAATCCTAAGCAACAAGAACAAAGCTGGAGACATCACACTACCTGACTTCAAGCTATACTACAATGCTACAGTAACCAAAACAGCATGGTACTGGTATCAAAACAGACATATAGATGAATGGAACAGAACAGAAACCTCAGAAATGACACCACACATCTACAACCATATGATCTTCAACAAACCTGACAAAAACAAGAAATAGGGAAAGGATTTCCTATTTAATAAATGGTGCTGGGAGAACTGGCTAGCCATATGGAGAAAACTCAAACTGTACCCCTTCATTACAACTTATGCAAAAATTAACTCAAGATGGATTAAAGACTTAAATTTAAAACCCAAAACCATAAAAACCCTAGAAGAATACCTAGGCAATACCATTCAGGACATAGGCATGGGCAAAGACTTCATGACAAAAACACCAAAAGCAATTTCAACAAAGCCAAAATTGACAAATGGGATCTAACTGAACTAAAGAGCTTCTGCAAAGCAAAAGAAGCAATCATCAGAGTAAACAGGCAACCTACAAAATGGGAGAAAATTTTTGCAATCTACCCATCTGACAAAGGGCTAATATCCAGAATCTACAAGGATCTTAAATAAATTTACAAGAAAAAAAAAACAACCCCATTAAAAAGTGGGCAAATAATATGAACAGATACTTCTCAAAAGAAGACATTTATGTGGCCAACAAACATATTAAAAAAACTCATCATCACTGATTATTAGAGAAATGCAAATCAAAACCACAATGAGATACCATCTCATGCCAGTCAAAATGATGATTATTAAAAAGTTAAGAAACAATAGATGATGGTAAGGCTGTGGAAAAATAGGAACACTTTTACACTGTTTGTGGGAACATAAATTAGTTCAACCATTGTGGAAGACAGTGTGAAAATTTCTTAAGGATCTAGAACCAGAAATACCATTTGACCCAGCAATCCCATTATTGGGTACATACCCAAATTAATATAAATCATTCTGCTATAAAGACACATGCACACATATGTTTATTGCAGCACTATTTACTATAGCAAAGACATGGAACCAACCCAAATGTCCATCAAAGTTAGACTAGATAAAGAAAATATACATATACACCATGGAATACTATGCAGCTATTAAAAAGATGGGATAATGTCCTTTGCAGAGACATGGATGAAGCTGGAAGCCATCATCCTCTGCAAACTAACACAGGAACAGAAAACCAAACACCACATATTCTCACTCATAGGTGGGAGTTGAATAATGAGAACACATGGACACAGGGGGGAGAACAGCACACACTGAGGCCTGTTGGGGAGTGGGGGTATAAGGGGAGGGAGAGCATTAGGACAAATACCTGATCGATGCAGGGCTTAAAACCTACGTGATGGGTTGATAGGTGCAGCAAACCACCATGGCACATGTATACCTATGTAACACACCTATATACATATATACATATATATATATAGATAGATAGGTATTCATATATATATAGGTATTCCTATCTCTCTCTCTATATATAGGTATACCTATATATATGTATATATTCCTCAAATTAACTCTTTCATAGATATACTATTCTAGAGTACTCTTTTTTCCCTTAGGACTTTAAATATATCATGCCACTCTCTCCTGACCTGTAAGGTTTCCACTGAAATGTCTGCTGCCAGGCGTATTGGAGTTCCATTGTATGTTGTTTTTCTTGCTGATTTTAGGATTCTTTTTTTATCCTTGATTTTTTAGTGTTTGACTATTAAATGCCTTGAGGGAGTTTTATTTGGGTTGAATCTGCTCAGTGTTCTATAACCTCCTTATACTTGAATACTGGTAGCATTCTCTAGGTTTGAGAAGTTGTTTGTTACTATCCTTTCGAATAAACCTTCTACTCCTGTCTCTTTCTCTACCTCCTTTTTAAGGCCAATAACTCTTAGATTTGCCCTTTTGAGGCTATTTCCTAGATCCTGTAGGCATGATTCATTGTTGTTGTCGTTTTCTTTTGCCCCATCTAACTGCGTCTTTCCAAATAGACTCTCTTCAAGCTCACTAATTCTTTCCTCTGCTTGATCAATTCTGCTATTAAATGACTCTGATGCATTATTCAATACGTCAATTGCATTTCTCAACTCCAGAATTTCTGCTCGATTCTTTTTAATATTTCCATCTTTGTTAAATTTATCTGATGGAATTCTGAATTCTTTTTCTGTGTTGTCTTGAATTTCTTTGAATTTCCTCAAAATAGTTAGTTTGAATTATCTGTCTGATAGGTCACATACCTCTGTTTCTCCAGGACTTTTTCCTGGTTTGGTGAAGTTATGTTTTCCTCGATGGTGTTTATGCTTGTAGATGTTCATTGGTGTTTGGGCATTGAAGAGTTAGATATATATTGTATTCTTTGCAATCTGGGTTTTTTCGTGTCTGTCCTTTTTGAGAAGACTTTCTGAGTAGTTGACGGTACTTGGGCCCCAAGCCCAATAACACTATGGTTTTGATAGACTTGTAGAGGTATAGCCTTGGTTGTCTTTCATATGATCTGGAAGAATTCTCTGGATTACCAAGCAGAGACTTTTTTTCCTTCCAATTACTTTCTCCAAAACAAATTTTTTTTTTCTCTGTGTTGAACCACATAGAACTGAGAATGTGGTGATGCAAGCACCCATGTAGTTACCAACACTAGTAATTTGCTGGGTCAGATCTGAAGCCAGAATAGCACTGGGTCTTGCCTAAGGCCTGCTATAACTGCTGGTTGGCTATCACCTATGTTCACTCAAGGCCCTAAGGCTCTACAGTCTTCAGGTGGTGAAGCCAGTCAGGTTTGTGTCCTTACTTTCAGGAAAAAGGAGTTCCCACAAAACCTGGGCAAGTCCAGAGATGCTGTCTGGGAACCAGGGATTGGAGTCAAAAACCTTAGAAATTTGCCCAATGTTATATTCTATAACAGCTAAGCTGGAACTTGAATCACAAGACAAAGTCCTTCTTACTCTTCCCTCCCCTTTCCACAGGCAAAAATCCTCTTGCTGTGGGCATCGCCATCACCACACTACCGTGAGTTGTGCCAAGATACTACCAATGTTCACTTAAAGCCCAAGGTCTCTTCAGTCAGCTTGTGGTGAATGCTGCCAGGCCTGGGACTCACCCTTCAGGGCAGTGGCCTCCACTCTGGCACAGTGCAGGTCCAGAAATGCTGTCAAAGAGCCTCAGCAAAGACTCAGGGACCCAAGAGCCTGCTTGTTGCTCTACCCAACTGTAACTGAGCTGGTACCTAATGTGCAACACCAAGTTCTCTATACATTTCCCTCTGCTTTTCATAAACAGGAGTGTTTCACCACATCCACTAGAGCTGGGAATGTGCTGGAACACACCTAATGTGAGCATGTCTTAAAGCCCATAGTCCACTTCCTACTATCTGGATATCATTTCTAGTTATTCAGAAAGAAAAGGTTCTTTAGTCAGCAGGTGATGACTCCTACCAGGACTGGGTCCTTCCCTTCAAGGCAATGAGTTCCATTTTGCCCAAGGCATGTCTAGAAATGTCATCCATGATCTAGGTCCTGGAATGGGTTCTTCATGACTATGCCTGGTGCCCTATTCTACTGTGGCTGTGTTGGTATCTAAGATGCAAGACAAAGCCCTGTTTCCTCTCTATATTAAATAAAAACCAGGATAGTGAGAGAGTACAGAGTTGATCACAGCCATTTCAGTTCTACAGAAGAGTCTGATACATTCTTAGTTTGAGGTTGTGTTTTGTATATCTGGGGTTATTACATGAGTGATGCAGTTCTCTATTATTTGCTGAAAATCTGCAGTGACATGGTCACTCCTAATCCTCAAATTAACTAATTCTATGTTGTATCAAACTTTAGGAATTTCCAAATTTGTTGGCTTCTAGAGGTACATTGTATTAAGGCCAAGTTTTACTTTACTGTTTCACCTAGAAATCTTATTAATAATATAACATTTTCTAATAGAATAATTTGAGAAATTTAATTAAATATTAAGTAAATAATAATGATGATGACTTGTGTATACTGAAAAATTCTTGATCATGGAATTTCAATGACTGAATTTTGGAAAACACTGCTCTAGTGTGTGAAAAAAATGTATTCTAAATTTTTAAAGCATATGTGGACAAATTTTCACTACCTAAAACTATTACACAACTAGAAGAAATACTGACAATTCAAAGTAGTCTGGTGCATTTACGTATGTTTGCTTGATACAACGTTTTCTCTTCTCTCTCTTTCAGTTGTGATGATTGTGGTTATTGCTCTATTTCTTCTGGTCTTCTTTGGCAATTGCTATTCATTCTGGTAAGAGAATCACTAAAGATTTCTTCCTCTTTGCTGATCATGATTCACAGGACCTTTCACTTTTTCTCCCCAGCATATGGAATGGATTCTACATGCAACCATATAAAACTAATAGTGAGAATAGACGATATCAAAAATAAAATAAAATAAACCCAAATTACTGATTATTATATGTTTAGGTATGAATGTGCATATATGTAAATCACATTGCCATTGAAATGGGAGAAAAAAAGAATATTAAAATGAATTATTAGCAATGTCCCCTGGTTAAGATGGCTATCATTATGAAAGTATAAAACAAGATAATTAGTTGGACTCGTGGCCACACACACTTACAACTTGGTGAGAACTTTGATAATTATTTCCTGGATTTACCTGGGCATGAAAATTACATTTACATTTACAGTATATTCAATTCCATGGTCATTTTTTTTAGTGAAAATTACTGAGTTTAAAACCTATAAATTTAAACGTAAACTTAAGCATTAAAAGAGATAGTGGTTTTGTTCACGATGACAGCCATCATAATAATACTGTCAGACTACAAAGATAATATCTTCTTTTTCATTTATACTCTGCCTGCTTTATTCCACCTTTCTGGTACCTAATTATTCTTGGTATCGCATATGATACAAAGCATCTCTGAAAATTCCTTTAAAGATACAAATGTAAATGGTTGAATTCTACGAATTATTGTTCATGGAGCTATGCATTTCTATTCTGAAGGATTCCTCTAATAATTTGGTAGAGACTAAAAAACCAGGAAGACTATAATCTAGTATGAGCTGACACGAGTTAGAAGTGTAGCACAGGAAAAATTATTTGCAAATAGAAGTAAATTTAATTACTCGCTGTGTGACCTTGGGCAACTTTTAAACCTCTTTGGAGTATAAATAGCATTGAATATTATAACTGAAAATCACTTTGGAAATTATGCAGTAATTATTAACTTCTAAATGAGAGTTCCTGATTATAATAGTGCTGGAGGTTTCCTAAGTTTTGAAAAGGTATTTTTATTTTCCCAAATATTTCAACAAATGGGTCTTATTTAGTGTTAATAAAATATGCAGGCCAAATTTTTTTTTAATTTGACTTTTTGCTAGAATTCCATTAACCTGGTAGATATGTCTCAAGTTAGAAACTGAATACAAAATTTTTATCAGCAAAACATTTCAGGATAAAGGATCAATGGGGTAAAACGCAATAAAAAAATCATTATTGGTGGTAAAATATTAAACATAAGGATTTAAATTAATCTAGTGGCAATATTGCACAGTGGTTCAGAGTCAAGGTTTTCTAGTTAGATTGCCCTGAGTTTAGATCCTGGCTGTCCTTGAGTAAGCCACTAAACTCCTGTAAGCCCCAGTGTTGTTAAAATAGCACTATTAATACGTACTAGGGATTAATTAAAACAATATATACATATAAAGGATGTTTTATGAAATATAAAACACTACATAAATGTAATCAGGATTATTGTTGTTCTCTTTCATAAGCCTTCTCCATAACTCTGAATCTTCTGTATACATACAACACCAGAACTTTTTTTATTTGCCTTCATCTTGTATGACAAGGGACTTTATCCTTTGATATTGCTGGAAGTTGTAATCCTTCTAAAACTGGCAGTTTAGAAGGAAATCTACCTACAGTAGGTTTGTTCTTTTACATGTTTTATTTTATTGCTTGAACACTGTCATTTTTATTTAATTTGTATTTGAAACTAGCTAATAGAATTCGGCTGTATTTTACAAGTAATTTTCCCCGAGGTTCTTTAATCTCTTTTATAGAATTTGCTAGTTTCTTTGTAAAAATGGCTCTTTCATTCAGGAGCTTTGATTGAAAACAATCTTTACAGAAGCCCATTAGAATTTAGTGGTATAAAGGATTAGGTCCCTTTTATAGGCCTGAAGTGGCTGTAAGAATTGTTTGTATCTATTTCAACTGTGGCTTGCCCACACTATCTGAAGAGGATTTTGCAATTTGGTTTGGTTGATCAAAAATTCCTTGGTGTTCTAATTGTTAATTGTCAAAGTTCACAGTCAGTGCTGATAAGGATGTAAACATGACTAGGCTTTCATAGCTCTGCCACTTCATGGGAAGGGAATTTTATCATTACTAGTAGACAAACAAAGGCTGAATCTGAGAGCAAGTAGGACAGAATGGGCAAGGGTGTTAGGGGAGTAATGATGGAAGCCTAACCTCCCAACCCCATAGTTTCACAGACGTGATTTGTCATAGACAGGGGAGATTTGAAAACATGTGCATTTGTGCTTATTAAAATGAACAAAAAATATTGGAAATATATTTACCAAAATGTTAACAGGGGTTATGTCTGCATAATGAGGTTTGGATAATTTTTGTTTTGTTCTTATTGTTTTCCTGAATATTTTATACATTCTATGTAAAGCATGAATTATTTTTAGAATAGGATACAAATAAATAATACCAAATTTTAAATGGAAAATGATATATAAGACTAGCTTTTCTGCCCATTTTTGTAGGCCTCAGAATGAGGAGGCTTACTCTCAATTGTAGGTTATATAGGAACTTTAGATGACATCTTTGCAGTTGATATTTTCTTCCTGAATTAAATAATGATATAGACTTCCTGCCTTTTACTATCACCATAATTCAAAAGGAATTTAAATGTGCAGTGAAAATTGTTTGATTGTATAATGATCTGCTTGGCAGCCTATTCACACAGCCCCGTAACCTTCCTAGCTAGAGCCACATAACTATCAACGGGGACCCAGGGTAAAGTTCTACCTCTAGTGGGTAGTGGGGTGGGGATTCTCAGATGCCCTAGGTAATGTGAAAGAAAAATAAATCTTGGGGCCCCAAAATCACTAAG
This sequence comes from Homo sapiens, assembly GCF_000001405.40. Taxonomy (NCBI): domain Eukaryota; kingdom Metazoa; phylum Chordata; class Mammalia; order Primates; family Hominidae; genus Homo; species Homo sapiens. Next base: position 82,334,552 of record NC_000023.11, read on the forward strand.
TTAAAGGAAAAATGCAAGCTGGGAATGGCTTAGGGCAAACCTGCCTCCCATTCTATTCAAAGTCATTCTTCTGCTCACTGAGATAAATGCATATCTCATTGCCTCCTTTGGAAAGGCTAATCAGAAACTCAAAAGAATGCAACCATTTGTCTCTCATCTACCTGTGACCTGGGAGGCCCCTCTTTGCTTCAAGTTGTCCTGAGTTCCAGAGGGAACCAATGTACATCTTACTTATATTGATAGATGTCTCATGTCTCCCTAAAATGTATAAAATCAAGCTGTGCCCGACCACCTTGGGCTCATGTCATCAGGACCTCCTGAGGCTGTGTTATGGGTGTGCGTCCCAAACTTTGGTAAAATAAACTTCCTAAATTGACTGAGACTTGTCTCAAGTATTTGGGGCTCACAGTAAATAGCTCACTGTCTCATCAAGTCTGACACTGCAAGTACTGCTTCTATCTTGATGGGATGCTGTATGTAGTAGAGCTTTGAAAGCAGAAAAGCCTAGTTTCATAAATCTAGCCTCCCTGTTTTCTTAGCTGTTTGAACTTGAGTAAACCACTTTAAATTTCTAGACTGCAGTATTTTCCCCTGAAAAATAAAGATAGTAGTGACAGTTATCTTACTGGATTTCAAGCATTTAATGGAACAACATTGACATTGTGTTTTGCCTGGTCCTTCGTACATAGTAGGTGCTTAGTAAATGGTAGCTTTTAATGTAAAATATTTAAACTGATTGATAATAGTGGTAGTTATGATTAACATAATTAGTATTATCCTCATACTGTAAGGATACATACATACCGTTAATATTTAGAGGCTTCATTTTCTCTGTTGAAACTGTTGAAAGGTATATTCTTTTTCTCCCTTTTCTCTGAGCATTTACCTTAGAAAACTTGTAAATATTGTCTGATCTCCTTCAAATGCAAACACCTCGAGAGCCATGTTCTTGAAGTGTAAACAAGAGAGATAGCTCTCTATCTCCCAATTTCTGTGGGAAGGTTAAATCCTAACTTTGGTGAATGTCTTGCTATAACTTGCAAGCTACCTTATGTCATAAAGACACATGAAATTTGTTTGTTCTTTGGATAAAGCCAGAAAGCTAATGTAGATGATTACTCCAATTACCATGTAAAGTTAAGACGAACTATGTATGACAGAAGGTGCTGTTAAGTCTTCTTGCTTGAAGAGTATTGTTTGTTTCAAAAACATATACATAGTACATATCTGCTTGGAAATATAAGAGAGTTTCTTTTCTGTCTTTGCAATCTCTTAACAAAATGCCTGTAATGTGCATCACAGTCTGGATTAATGCATATTCAATAACAAAAGTGTTTCTGTTCTCTACCACTTTTGTGAAGAGGATTTCTGGATTGAGAGAATGTTTTTTCTTTCCCTGAGGCTAAAGGAATTCCTGTCTGACTTGTTCTGCTACTGCCTGAACCAAGCTTGTCCAACCAGTAGCAAATGGGCTGCATGTGACCCAAGACAGCTTTGAATTTGGCCCAACACAAATTTGTGAACTTTCTTAAAATATTATGAGGGTTTTTTTTGCGACTTTTTAGCTCATCAGCTATTGTTAGTGTTAGTGTATTTTATTTGTGGCCCAAGACAATTCTTCCATTTTGGCCCAAGGAAGCCAAAATATTGGACACCCCTGGAACCAGTGCTTCCTAGAATACTTTTTTCTTGAGCTTTTACTTCAACTTTTGAATATCTTTTGTCTTTTTAATATATTTCAATAAATTGACCCATGCAGCTGTCTCTCAGTCACTTATTATTTTTTATAACCCACTGATAGTGTCAGGAGGTGACAAATCCTAGGTGGACACGGGTGGGTCCCTAGTGAAACTCATCTTCAAGCTAAAAACACTTTAAAGCCTGAAAGCCGAGCTACAAGTCAAATCCATGGACTGGAGTGAGAACATCTCTTTCCATCTGCTGTGCTTTCCTCTGATTGATCCCAACCCTTTACCTATTTTATATAGACCTACTCTTCCCTAAATGATTTTTTACACTGTCGTGCCCATCTCTAAATGGTGCCTTAGTTTTAACGTTTTTTTGCATACTTACAAACCAATCAGCATGCCCTCTCCCATTCTGAGCCCATAAAGCCCAGATCCAGCCACAATGAGGGAGAGACCACCCAACTTTGGGTGGGGTACAACCCTCGCTTTCCTTCTCTGCTGAGAGTCGTTCTGTTGCTCAATACAATTATTCTTCACCCTCTTCACCCTGAGATTATCAGTGTAACTTCGTTCTTCCTAGGTGCAGGACAAGAACTCGGAAACCGCTGAACAGGAGTACAAGCTATAACACAGGTGGGCTGGGGCATGCCCAGCCCAGGAGCAGACTGAGCCAGTACAGAAGGTGGACCTAGTGGGCGAGGTGCCTCCTGCAGCAGGCTCACGTCGAGCAAGGCCCACATGGGGGTGTTGCCAGCTGGAGGTGTCCAGCTGGCAAAAGTGGCCAAGAAAAATTCTGCATGACCACAAACAACAATTCAACCACTCTACCACCCATTTTCACCCTTTTGGTGCCCACTTTCATTCCTATGTTTTAGTTCTTTCATCATTCTCATTTTCACCCTCCAAGAGATATATTATTTTCTTTAGACAAATATGAACATCTGTGGATATATGTAAGTTCTAAGACATATGTTCTAGATATTAGGTATGTAATGAGTGATGGTATACCTCAGAGACGGAAGAAAGCTTCAACCAGTCAGTGCATCAGATTCACATGGTAAGTTTCCCTTTACTCAACTTTTTATTTTGAATAAAAAGTCTATAGGAAAACAGAAATAAATAATGGCACAATGAACATTATATACCCATCAACGAGATTAATCAATTTTTAACATTTTGATTCATTTGTCTTCTCTCTCTCCCTGCTTTCTACTTCCTTCCCTCCCTCCATCTTTCTTTTGCTGTGTCCATATATACATGCAAACACATACACATTTTCTTGTTTATTTATTTTAAATGAAGTACTTCAGATTTTTGACATTTTACCCTAGACACTTCATAGGATAATTATCGCACCTAAAATATTAACATTTATTTCCCCACATATTTCTAAAACATATTTTATAGTGTATGTGTGTGTGTGTATGCATTTTAAATTGAGGTTCTAATCAGATTTCTTTCAATGAATTTGGTTGTATTTTTTTAGTGTCTTTTTTTTTTTTTTTTTTTTTTTTTTTTTTTTGTGAGACAGAGTCTCATTCTGTCACCCAGGCTGGAGTGCAGTGGCATGATCTCAGCTCACTGCAACCTCTGCCTCCTGGGTTCAAGTGATTCTTCTGCCTCAGCCTCCTGAGTAGCTGGGGTTAAAGGTGCACACCACCACACCTGGTTAATTTTTGCATGTTTAGTAGAGATGGGGTTTCACCATGTTGGTCAGGCTGGTCTCAAACTCCTGACCTCATGATCTGCCTGCCTCAGCCTCCCAAAGTGCTGGGATTACAGGCGTGAGCCACCACACCTGACCAATCTAAGCAAATACTTCTTTTAAAATTTTCTAGTTTTTTAATTTATCTTCTATGGTATTTATGTTTAAGAGACCAGAATAGTTGGGCAGAAATGTCCAACATTTTGATCTTGATAATTTATTTGAGATTGGATTCAGGCTAAACATTTTTGTGAAATACATAAGAGATTTATCATATCAGAAAACATATTATATCACATTATACCAGCTTTTCCCAGTTTTGGTTCTGCTGAGTTTGATCATTTGATTAAATTGATCTCTACCATATCTGTCCATTTCATAGGTACATTTTTTCTTTTGTATCTAGTAGGCAATCTTTGAGGATGGAAAGCTTTTATAAATACAGATTCCCATGTATCACACTTGGAAATGATTCTGCAATTGTGAGGTAGTCTTGGGAATCTGTAATTTTATAAAGCTATCCAAGATTTTTGATGGTCATCCAATTTGGGGAATTCCTAATGCTGTAATTGTGACATAATACCAGATGAAACGGGGATTAATTACCACCTCAGCCTTTCATTTGCTTTGGGAAATTTTACAAGTTATTTAGATTTGTTGAGCATTAGTTTTCTTGTAAAATTGTGGTGACAGTATTGCCTATTACTTATAATTATTGTAAAAATAAATTAAGTTAGACAATACATCAAGACTGTTTTTTCTATTACTTGAAATATAAAAAATATTTAAATGCCAACTGTCATTAATTGTATGATTGTGGTTGGCTCTGCATGAATGATAGCCATCATGATTTATTAGAATCTTCATTGATTAATCAGAGAAAATACATTTATCTGTATTTCTCAGGATTTCTGATCTCTTCTCCCTTTCTCCATCTATTTCCACAAAATAACAGGAATAATGAGATCTTGCATAGCATAATAAATTATTATTTTGTTCAATGTAATTATATACAGAATTTTTACCAAGCAATTTATTAGTAGCCATTCTTGATTTTTAAAGAAATTTCCAAAGTTGGACCATCACTTGAAAAGTCCAGTGTACATTTCTATTCAACATAGTCATTTGGTTTAGAAATAAAAACTAGCTTCTTACAGGCTAATGTTATAAATTATTTTCACATTTAAAATATACCACAAATATCAATATATGTATTAATTATTGAATATAAAATTAGAGTTGATTCAATGCTTACTTGAATTTAAAGTCCAGTGAATAAATGGATGTAATAATTTGTAAACTAGTCACCTGGAATTAATGAAGCTGCTATTATTTTTACTTTCAAGTGTAGAATTTTTAGATTTAAAAACATGCTAGCAAGTACATTATAAGTGACAAGTTTTTACTAAGTACATTTTCAACCTCAGAATATTTCACACACAAGATTCTAGTGCATAAAATAAAATCCCAAATCTTTACTGGAACACGATGAGCTAATGTGCTAATTTTTATCAGGCTGTGCACATTTAGTGTATTTGCTATGGGTTACAGAGTTTGCAAAAATATTGTTGGAATAGTATCTTTCCAATAATCTTCACACTGATAAGCCAGTACATGATAAAGTCATGCCATTTTGACGCTTTTTTCCTCCAAATGTGATATTAGGTCAGCAATTTTGAAGCAATTCTATAGATAATTTTCAAATTTGGCTAGTTCTTCAAATGTAAAAATATATTTAGATTTAATGTTCACCTTTGTATTAATGGAAACACCTTAAATTTTAAATATTGCTATTTAGTTCTCAGCTTTATGTCAACCACTCAGATACATTTATCCAACTATTTCATTCAAGGAAGATTATTCTTCCTATTATGCTTAACTCTGTTCTGTTTGTTTGTTTTATTCACTATCTTTATTTCAAATTAACAGGTTTTTTTTTTGTTTTTTCTTGCACATTTTTGGGGTTTCTTTCCACACTAGAATTTAAGTTCCCTGAGAAAAATCACCATATTTCTCTTTTTCAGCACTGTGTCTCCTGTGCTTAAAACAGAGCTTGGCACAAGGGCTCAAAAATAATTTTATGAAATGAAGGAATGAATAGACTGAAATTATATAAATTTACATTATATAGAAAATTTTTATTTACTTAATATGATTTATTTACTCTGTTTTACTTAATTTCAAGTCTATTTCATCATATGTGGAAATAGTTATATTTATCTTTTAAAGTTAATAATTGACTTTGCATTGATATTGTTACTACAAGGGTACTTAGTTTAAGGATTAGTTCTCCTGTCAACCTGTGGCTTTGGGCTCATTGAAGAATTGTGGGAAACTGAAGTTCAAAAAAGGAGTGTGCTACACAAAGTCATAAAACAAATTTCTGAAAGAATGAAGACTAGAACTCAGCTATCTTAATGTATGACGTATGTTAATTGCAAACCTATTCTTCCTTTAGCCTTTTATGATTTAGAGGTCGTTGAATCTATTACTATTTGTGTATTGTTGAAAAACTCAATGTATTCATGCTGACATTTTAGTATGGAGAGATAGATTAGCTTTTTACAACTCCCGAAAAACATTTAATATTTAAGACATACATCTATGTCTGCATTAATCAAGCCACATCTTAAAACACAGGCAACTCTTTTTTTTGATGAAATAAAATTCTAGAAGTGAATGAGATGAATTCACTGTATATATCTCATACAGTGTCCTCTCATAGGAAGAGGACAGATGTATAAATTGGACATAGAATAGGAACAGGACATAGGATAGGAATAGGACAGATATAGAAATTGCTGAATGGTAGCCTCATTTCAATGAGGCTAATATAAATGAAATAAAAACATTAAAACATGGTTTAAAACATTACTCTTTGACTTCTGCTTCAGACAAGATGGAGTAGACATACTTTTCCTTACACCTTCTAATAAGTACAGATAAAAACCATAAACACTATATTCAAAACAAAATGACAACAATCTGAAAGTAGGAGAGAAGAAGGCAGATGTACTTAGAGACCTTGGAACCAGAGGAATGGCATAGTGATGCATTCCCTGGTATTCTCTTTGCCCCATATATCCATGGTAGTATTGGAGAAATTGGAAACCTGGAAACACAGGAAGGGTGATAGCTCTTTTCTTTAAAAAAATATTTTGCTCCTTCTCTCTGGCTTCCATAGTTTCTGAGGAGACATTTGTGGTCATCAAATTGTCTTTTCCCTGTAAGTAAGATGTCATTTATCTTTTGCTGCTTTCAGCAATTTTTCTTTGCTTTTAGTCTTCATAAATCGAACTATGATGTGTTTGTTTGCCTTGTTTTGAATGTTTGTACCTTCCCTTTCATATTTATAAATTGAAATCCTTAACATGAAAGTGATGATATGAAGGGGCAAAGCCTGTAGCAGGTGATTAGGTCATGGTGGTAAAGCCCTCATTAATGGAATTTGTGCTTTTACAAAAAAAGGCCTGGGAGAGATCCCTTACCACCCCACTACATGCTTACACATAGAAAAACATGGCATCTACGTACCAGAAAGCAGATTATCATCAGACACTGGATGTGCTGGTGCCTTGATCTCAAACTTCCAAGCTTCCAAAACTGTCAGAAATAATTTTTTTCAGTTGTGATAAGCCACTCAGTGTATGGTATTCAGTTACAGCTTTCCAAATACACTGACATTTAGCATAAATGTATTTCAATTTATCATGTTTTGGAGCAAACTCAGTTTCTGGAATGTGTAGGTTTCTGTCTTGTCAAATTATGTGTGCATGCATACATTCACACACACACACACACAGATGTACAGAGATTTAATATTTGTCAGTCTCTTTCACTTATTTCTGGAACACAAACTTAAAAGCAGTATAGAAAATATAACAGAATTCTAAAAGAAATGTTCAAATTATCTGCAGCAATGTGGGGAAAAGAAGACAGAGAAATGAGAAAGAAACAAACAGAAAAAAGAATGTCAAACTTGAAATCAAAAGCATCAATAATTACAATAAGTGTAAATTGTGTAAATCAAATCATCTTAATAAAAATCAAATGATCTCTGTCCAACCAAGGCTCAGGGTAGAATCCTTCCTATGATTAACCAAAAAGCTCCACATTCATTTTGCACTTTTATACTTTATCTCTGGACTATAATATAGATAGGTGGAAAGGCCTATGTTCACCAAAGTATGTATGAATTCCATAGAATAAGTTCAAAGCAGGTAAGAGGAGGACAGATACACATAGAACAAAAAAGTAATTGCCTACATCTGAATTTCAAACTAGGCATTTAAATGTTTACAACATGCCTAGTTTTCTGTTCTTTTTTTTATTCCCAAGCTTTAAAAAAAACATTAAGGATGAAAGCCTAATATAGTGAACACAAAGTAACCTTTAAGTAAAAATGGCAAGAGTGTGACAAAGGTAAATGTGTCATGAAGGAAGAAAATATTTTCCCTTGTAGGGAAGAGACAACTAAAACATCAAAATGGAAGGACAGACTATGGTTATCCTGATGTGGAAAGAAGTAATATGATAGAAATAACTAGATAAGAGAAATATTATATCATGAGGATTCCTACTTGTTTACTCCTGCATCGTCTTCATGAACATGAATTCACATTCTATATGGCATCTGAAAAAAGAGCAGAAACAGTTGCATGTTTTTTATGGTGATGTATCTAAGATTATATGTGATTTCTCTCGATTTGTACTCTTATGTAGTAGATCAAGATAGTTTCACAATTCTCAGTGTGAGGACTGAAAGTTAGTTAAAGTACGAACAAACAAGCTTTGTTTGAAGTAAGAGATCATCATGGTGAGGGGGAGCTGTGACATATTAAAGAAAGTCAGAGGGAAAGCAGTCCAAATCAGAACAACAAAGGAATCACAGCCAGCTCAATATGTTTCAGTATAATTGCCTTTGAACACAAAGATCCAAGGCAATGACCAAGTGAACAAGAGTTTGACTATAATGAAAAAAAAATGATTACACTCGTCACCAGTAGTGAACACTTTAGAAGCAGCTGAAGGAATTAAAAATGTTAAGTCTAAAGCATAAACAAGGTTAGGTCTATGGGAGCGAGCAGAGAAAACAGCACACACAGATAGGACCTTATTTTTCAATGTCATGAAGATATATGAATTCCTATTTTTTAACTAGTACAAACAACCCCAAAGAAAAGGAAGTTTTAAATTGGAAGAACTGATGACACTTTCATGGCAAATCAAGTGTTCTTCAGCAGCAGTATGACTTTCTACTTGAAACAACTAAGTAATGGTTAAATAATTAGGCTCTGGAGTTAAACTACAGTATTTGAGTTTACCTCTTGGCTATGTCACTTGCAAACTAGTATTTGTTTGTTTGTTTATTTATTTGTTTTTACCTAAGAAAGCTGTTCTTAAATGTTTACCATTTTGTAAATTTTTTGAAGAAAACATTCCTGGCCGGTGGCTCATGCCTGTAATCCCTGCACTCTGGGAGGCTGAAGCTGGAGGATCACTTGAGGCCAGAATTTCAAGACCAGCCTGGTCAACATTGTGAGATCACATCTCTACAAAACAAATAAACAAATGAAAAACAACAAACATATTTCAAAAAACGTTGCAAGGATTAAATGGGTTAAAACCAATAAAATGTTTAGACGGTGCTCTAGAACCTAAGGAACACTTAATTAGATAGCATTATTATCATTAGGAATAAGATTTCATAAGTCATATGTTTATATGTTTATTATTAGACATTATTAAAACAAACCTTACTAGCTCATACATATGTATATCTGCTATTATATATATATTTTATATATGCTATTGTATATATTTATATGTATGCTCTTATATATGCTATTGTATATATTTATATGTATGCTCTTATATATGCTATTGTATATATTTATATATGCTATTATATTTATTTATATATGCTATTGTATATATTTATATGTATGCTATTGTAAATATTTATATATATGCTATTATATATATATGTATGCTGTTAGTGACACTGGTTAGTTTTTTGTTAAGTTTCTAATATGCTTAGTAATTGTGTCACATATGCTAGCTTTCCAACCCATTACTGGATTTAGCATACATAGTGATCTAAATGAGCAGTACTTGTAAAAAGATGTTATATAATTGTATATGATGTAATACAAAAAACCCTCCAATAATACATAGAAACATTGTTCTATTAGGTCATAAAAGCATTCAATAGTGTTTTTTCAGACTATTTTGTCTGCTCTACTGGATTTCAAGATTGAGAGATTGTCTCAGATTAGAAATACATCTCTCTTCTACTGGAGAGTCAGATTACAGAACTTTTAAAAATATTTTGTTTAATTTTCAGCTCAAAAGATGTTAAAAGCTGATATCAAAGAGCAACATATGGCTAAGTTAAAAAGTTATTGTATCCCCAGTGAATAATTAGATTTATATATATAGAATAACAACTATATTTCTTTCTTTAAAAGGTTAAAACAAAGCAGTCATTTTGACTAACTTTTATTAGATGATAATAGTTAGAGTTATGGTTCTTTCATATAAGAATTATTTTTGAGCTCTTCAACTAGCCTAATTCTCTAAGTTCTAATAGATGTACTTAGAATCTAGATCAATTTGCTTTATTTAGTAACCAAGATAGGATATTCAATGAGGACATTTTCACTTAGAACTGATGCATAATAAAGTTTAATAAGCTCTGTTCTTCTCACAATGTAAAACTTCAAATGAAAGGAGATGGAGGTCTGGTAGGCTATTCTCTCAGAATAACAAGCCAGAAGATGCACGACATCTCTTCAACCAGCAGCCTCCAGCATTTCAGTTATATAAAAGAGTGGATCACTGGCCCCTGGTTTCATGTATCCCAAAATTCTTTTACAATGGGGTAGAATCTCTTGAACTTTTGACTAGGGAGATAAGGATCGTTTGTGTTCATGTGTGTATGTTGTCATGGGGTAGGGATTGCCAGAGAAGAAGTAGGGAATAGTATACTATTTTATACTTTTATTTCAATCAGTTTCACTGCCTAGTTCCCATTGACTCTGATCATTATCTTTTTTGTAGCTAGAATATTCTATTCTTCCTCCTTTATCCTATAGCCCATATTTAAAATTTATCTAAACCAAATTGACGCAAACTGTAACCTGTACTGTTAAGTTTTCCTGGATCCCTCAGCTAAAAGCATCTTTTCACCTCTTGTGAATTTCCATGCCAAAAGTTCCGCACTTCTCTTCAGCTGCATCACATATATAATCTCGTATTGTAATTATTTGTATACGTTTGCCTCCTTTATTAAACTAAAATTACTAAGAACAAGAATTCAAGAATTACACATTACAATCCGTAATGTAACCCATATTAGTTGCCAATAAATAGTGAACAAATTGTTCTCTTTGTGTGCACGTGTGCATGTGTGCACATATTTAATGAAGGACCAAGTAGCTCCCTTTTGCATGTAATTTTAGAACCACTTGGTAATGGTCTTAAAATCTGCATTCAACAGAAGCTGTTATAGTTACCTCCTATGTGTTTTAAGCAATTTTCCTGGTCCCTGCTGAGATTAAAGTGCCTTGCTTGACTGACTCATTTATTGGGGGGAGAAAAATATTTGGTGCAAGGCACTATGCTGTGGATTATATTGTTTATAGAAATCTCATTGAATCACATGCATGGTTTCAATTTTCTCTTCAAAACTTAGATCAAGCATGGCTGTCTACACACACTCTTTTAATTCTGAACATTTTTTGGATTCCAGCATTCGTAGATAGCTTTGGGGCCATGTTTTCTAATAACCTAACTACAGAAGCCTTTTGTAATACTCTTACTGGTTTGCATAAATTCACTGAGATAACAAGGTATAAATTCCAGGTATCTACAAATGACTGTTTTACAGATTTATAATTGTCAACGATATAATCACGGAGTCTGATATAATCACCAAGTCTGAAAAAGTAATCAAGTGGCAGTTCAAACCTCAATGAACACTATAATGCAAAATTAAAACAATAGGTGGAATTATGAGCAAATTAAAACACTTCCTAATGTTACTGTCTTCTTCTATAATGATTATTTTTCTAATGTTAAATTTTATAGATACTCATTATAAAAAAAAGTAGCAAAGCACCAAAAGAAAAAAGAAAATTACCTGTAATTTCACAACTACAGTGCAATTGGTAGTATTGTGATAGATTTATTTTCAGGTTTCTTTTTTCAGTTTAAATATAGGTATGTTTTACTTGAGGCTCAAATTATATAAAGTTTATTTTCTTTAAGAAAATATTGTACATGAACAGTTTCTCATTTCCATAATATTACAAAAAACATTTTCCTGATGGCATGCTAAGCCATTCTTTTAAATTAACCTTCATTGTCCTATTTTAAACTTATCACTACTCTACAAATATTGTAGCAAAAAAAATCCTTGTGCATAAATCTTTTGACACTGCTCTGATTATTGCTTTTGGATATATCTTATAAGTAGAATAATTAGGTTATGTGATATAAAAATTCTAAGGCTTGTAGTTTGTACCACTAAAATTCATTTGTTTCTAAGCTGTATCTGAAATTATGATTCAAGATGGTTGACTGCAGGTATCTGGTACTCAACTCCTCCAGAAAGAAGAATGAAAATAGCGAGTAGATAATCAAACTTTGAATACATCACCTAAGAGAGAATGCTGGAGTTCAACAAATGACCCGAAAAACCTAAAGCAAGGAAGGAGAGGGAAGAGAAGCAGCCTGCTCAGTTCAGAGACTGAAGAGGCTTAACAATGTGGGAAAAATATAAGTGAGTGACTCACATGGTCCACATTAAAAGCACAGAATCCTGAAATCTTAGCGCCCAGAGATTACTTAACCCATGTGATCCCTGAGACTGACATAGGGAGCTACCTGGAGATCATATGCCAATATTGATCCAGAGAAAACTTAAAACGTTTCTCACACCCCCCTGAGTCTTAAACAGATGCATCAAAGTACCATTTAGATAGCAAAGACCACACCAGACTACATCCTGCTCTGGGGCCCAACTACCCCTGCATCTCCACATTCCTGGAGCCCCTTTGATGTACTGTATTAGTCCGTTCTCACATTGCCAATAAACACATACCCGATACTGGGTAATTTATAAAGGAAAGACGTTTAATTGACTCACAGTTCACCATGGTTGGGGAGGCCTCAGGAAACTTACAATCATGGTGGAAAGGGAAGCAAACATGTCTTTCTTCACATGGGGACAGGAAGGAGAAGTGCCCAGCTAAGGGGGAAGAGCCGTTTATAAAACCATCAGATCTCATAAGAATTCACTCAGTATTATGAGAACAGCAAGAGGGTAAATGCCCATGATTCAGTCACCTCCCATCAGTCCCTCCCACGACATGTGGAAATTATGGGAACTACAATTCAAGACGAGATTTGGGTGGGGAAACAGTCAAACCATATCATTCCACCCTGGCCCCTCCCAAATTTCATGTCCTCATATTTCAAAACAAAATAATGCCCTTCCAACAGTCCCCCAAAGTCTTAACTCATTCCAGCGTTAACTCAAAAGCTCAAGTCCAAAGTCTCACCTGTGACAAGGCAAGTCTCTTCTACTTATGAGCCTGTAAAATTGAAAGCACGTTAGTTGCTTCCTAGATACAACTGGGGTACAAACACTGGGTAAATACACTTGTTCCAAATGGGAGAGATTGGCCAAAAATAGGGGGCTACAGGCTTCATGCACATCCAAAATCCAACGAGGCAGTAATTAAATCTTAAACTTCCAATATGATCTCCTTCGACTCCATGTCTCACATCCAGGTCACACTAATGCAAAGGGCAGGCTCCCACAGTCTTGGGCAGCTCTGCTCCTGTGGGATTGCAAGATATAGCCCCCCTCCCAGCTGCTTTCAGCAACTGGCATTAAGTACCTGAAGCTTTTCCAGGTGCATAGTGCAAGCTCTTGGTGGATCTGCCATTCTGGAGTCTGGAAGACGGTGACCTTCTTCTCACAGCTTCACTAGGCAGTACCCCAGTGGGGACTCTATGTGGGGGCTCTACCCCATATTTGTCTTTTGCACTGCCCTAGCATAGGTTCTCCATGAGGGATCCACCCATGCAGGAAACATCTGCCTGGACACCTAGGCATTGCCGTACACCCTCTGAAATCTAGGTAGAGTTTCCCAAACCTTAAATCTTGACTTCTGTTCAACAACAGGCCCAACATCAAGTGAAAGCTGCCAAGACTTGGGGCTTGCACTCTCTGCAGCAACTCCCTTAACTGTACATTGGCTCCTTTCAGCCATAGCTGGAGCTGAAGCAGCTGGGACTCAGGGCACTATGTCACAAGGCTGCATAGAGCAGGGGGGTGGCCCTGGGCACAGCCAATGAAACAATTTTTCCCTCCTAGTCCTCCAGGCCTGTGATGGGAGGGGCTGCTGTGAAGGTCTCTGACATGTCCTGTAGACATTGTTCCCATTGTCTTGGTGATTAACATTCCACTTCTCTTTACTTATGAAAATTTCTGCAGTAAGCTGGAATTTCTTTCAAAAAAATTGTTTTTCCTTTTCTACAACATGGTCAAGCTGCAAATTACCTAAACTTTTATGCTCTTCTCCCTTTTTTTTTTTTCTACTTTTTTGAGACGAGTCTTGCTCTGTCACCCAGACTGGAGTTCAATGGCACAATCTCAGCTCACTGCAACCTCTGCCTCCTGGGTTCAAGGGATTCTCCTTCCTCAGCATCCAGAGTATCTGGGATTATGGGTGTCCGCCACCATGCCCAGTTAATTTTTGTATTTTTAGTAGAGACGGGGTTTCACCATATTGGTCAGGCTGGTCTTGAACTCCTGACCTCAGGTGATCTGCCCACCTAGGCCTCCCAAAGTACTGGGATTACAGGTGTGAGCTACCGTGCCTGGCCCTTTCCTTTTAAATATAAGTTCAAGTTTCAGATAATCTCTTTGCTTATACATATAATCATCTGCTGTTAGAAGCAGCTGGTCAGTTCTTAAATACTTTTCTCTTTAGAAATTTCTTCTTCCAGATACCCTAAATCATCACTCTCAATTTCAAAGTTCCACAGATCCATAGAGCAGGGGCACAATGCTGCCACTCTCTTTGCTAAAGCATAGCAAGAGTTACCTTTACTCATGTTCCCAGTAAGCTCCTCATCTCCATCTGAGACCTCCTCGGCCTGGACTTTGTTGTCCATATCACTATCAGCATCTTGGTCAAAGCCTTTCATCAAGTCTCTAGGAAGTTCCAAACCTTCCCACATCTTCCTGTCTTCTGAGCCTTTCAAGTCTCTAGGAAGTTCCAAACATTCCCACATTTTCCTGACTTCTTCTGAGCCCTCCAAACGGTTTCAACCTCTGCCTGTTGAACAGTTCCAAAGTTGCTTCCACATTTTCAGGTATCTTTATGGCAGCACCCCACTCTCTGTGGTACCAATTTGCTGTATGAGTACATTCTCATTGCAGCTTTAAAGAACTGCCAGAGACTGGGTAATTTATAAGGAAAAGATGTTTAATTGACTCGCAGTTTAACATGGCTGGAGAGGTCTCAGGGAACTTACAATCATGGCAGAAAGGGAAGCAAATATGTCCTTCTTCACATGGTGTCAGAAAGAAGGGCCAAGCAAAGGAAAAAGAGCCCCTTATGAAACCATCAGATCTCATGAGAATTCACTCAGTATCATAAGTACAGCATATGAGTAACTGCCCCCATGATTCAATTGCCTCCTTCTGGGTCCCTCCAAAGATATATGGGGATTATGAGAACTACAAATCAAGATGAGATTTGGGGTGGGGAACTTCCAAAACATTTCACATACTTTGCCCATGGCTGGGTGCTGCCACTGGCTGCTGCCACCAGGGCAAAAGGCAAGCCATTGGCAGAGACCCCACTACTCCTCATAGCAGGGCTGCCATGCAATTTACAAGTGCCCTGGAAAAAGGCCGCCCTACTTACAGCCACTACCTGGTGCCAAAGCACAAACTCCCCAGCAGCCTATCTATGGCTGCTGCCACTGAAAGCGATCCCACCATCCTCAGCAGCAGAGACACAGAGAAGCTACTTCTGTCCTCATCTGAGAATTTTACAGCAGGGGCCTTGGGATCACCCTGCTCTTGCCTACCATAGACAGTGCCTGTATGCACTGCCAGAATGTCTGAGAAAAGGCCTCTCCAGGCTGGTTCCACCCCCTACTAGTGCCCAAGCATGCCTTCTGGGTGCCTAGGAATTATCCTGTTCCATCCACTACTGTTGGCATCTGAGCAGTCTTTCTGGGGGCCCAAGGATCTTGCCACCCAACCTGTTACCACCATCACAGCAGTCACCCACCCACACCACACACACCATGTGCAGACCTGTGGACTGACTAGCCTAGCCCATCACAGACAACACCAACACTAGCGTGAATGTCTAGTGAGACAAGGGATTGTCCCACCACAGTTATTGTCATCAGTCATGCCACAACTACTTTCCAGTTGCCTGAGGACCCACCCACCTGTACAGCCTAACACTGTTAATACTACCACTTTAGCAGGCTGCATGGAGGCCCCAAAATTCACATGCCTGGACTCACTAGCACCAATGTCAGACTACGTCTTCCTGGAAACCAAACACAGGCACATGGAACATGCCGATGCCACCACTGGGGCCCAAGGCCTAGCCCACCTGATGTCCCCATTATTAGCAAAATTTTATCACAGCCTCCATTAACATCTGAACCCTAAAGCACTAAGAAAATAAAAGCCATTTCTGACACTGTTTATAGCTGAATAAATCATATGGATACTGCACTATTGAATGCACCCAGAACTAAAGCCAAAATGTTCTCCTGAACCTACACCTCCAACATGTCTTCAGAAAAAAAATTCCTCCACTTCAAAAACAAACTCAATAAATACAAGAACCAAATGTTATTCCAGATACACAGATGTCAATGTGGGAACCCAGGAGATATTAAAAAGCAAGAAAATTTGACACCTCCAAATAAACAATAATTATCCAGTAAAAGATTCCATTGAAAAAGAAATTTATAAAATCTCAGAAAAAGACTTCATAATAATTATATTAAAGAAGCTCAATTAAATTCAAAATGACTGACATAAACAGTACACATAAATCAGAACAAATTCAGGGGGTGCATAATAAATTTACCAAAGACGTAGATATAATAAAAAAGAACCAAACAGAAACTCTGAAAATGAAGAATTTATTGAAAAAAACACAAAACACATTTGAAAGCCTTAACAATGGACTATACTGAAGAGCAATAAAGAATTTCAAAACTCGAAGACAGGTCTTTTGAAATAACTCAGACAAAAATGAAGACAAAATAATTTTTTAAAAATGAACAGTCTACATGACACATAGGATACCATAAGGCAGCCAAATATTCAAATTTCAGTGTCCCAGTAGGTAAGGGGTAAAATAAAGAGATACAAAATATATTTAACAAATTAATAGCTAAAATTTTCTCAATTCTAGCAAAAAATCTAGATATATAGATACAAGGGACTCAAAAATTCCCAAAGAGATAAACGCAAAAAAGTCTTCTCTACAGAACGGTTAAGAGTCAAACTGTCAAAAATTATAAACAAAGAGAGAAATTTAAAAACGGCAAGAGAAAAGCATCTAGTCATTTACAAGATAATTCCCATCAGGCTAACAGTGGATTTCTCAGCAGATACCTTACAGGCCAGAAGAGAATGAGATGATATATTCAAAGTGTTGAAAGAAAAAAGAAATTCCAGCCAATGATACTATACCTAGAAAAGTTAACTTACATAAATACAGGAAAAATAAATTCTTCCCAAGACAAGCAAAATCTGAGGTAATTCATAACCACTATTCCTGCCCTACCAGAAATGCTTAAAAAAAAATCTACACAACTAAAATTGAAAGGATGATTTCTACCACCATGAAAATACACAATAGTATAAAAAATATTGTAATGGAAACAAACAAATGAGGAAAAGTAAGGGCTCAAATTTTATCCCCCCACACACAAAAAATATAAAACCACCATGATAAACAACAAGAATGAAAGAAAGGAAAAAGGATTATAAAATAACCAAAAATCAAATGATAAAATGACAGGAATAAGATCTCATACATGACTAATAACCTTGGATGTAAATGGATTAAATTTTTAGTTTAAAAAATAAAGACTAGCTAAGTGGATAAATATACAAGACCTAAATAAACACTGCTTATAAGAAACTCTTCTCAACTCTAAAGAGACATATAGACTAAAAGTAAGGGAGTATAAAAAGATATTACATGTGAACGGAAATGGAAAGTGAGCAGAGGTATCAATATTTACATCAGATAAAACACACTTTAGCTTTTAAAAAATGACAAGAGACCAGGAAGGTCATTATATTATCATAAAACGATCAATTTAGCAGGAAAATATAACATCTCTAAATATATATGTACCCAACACTGAAGCACCCAGGAATATTGAGCAAATATTATTAGATTTAAAGAGGGATAGACTCCAACACAATAATAATTGGGGGCCTAAACAGCCCACTCTCAATATTAGATAGATCATCTGAGGGTAAAATTAATAAAGAAACATTTATTATGAACATACTTTAGGCCAAATGGGTCTAAGAGATATTTACAGAACATGTCACAAAATAGCAATGAACACTTACATCACGAAGGTAGTAAGACTTCAATAAACAGTCTAATAATATACCTCAAGGAACTAGGAAAGTAAGAACAAACCAAACCCCAAATTAGTAGTTGAAGAAAGTTATAAAGATCTGGGTAGAATTAAATAAAATAGAGACTTAAAAATAATAAAATGATTAATTAAATGAAGAGTTTTTTCTTAGAAAACAATAAACAAAATAATAAACTTACAGTGAGACTAACCAAGATAAAGAGATGACCCAAATAAATAAAATGAGAGAATCACATACAACCTACCAACATTAAGTCAGGAAGGCATAGAATACCTGAAAATACCAATAACAAGTAATGAGAGTGAATCAATTAAAAAAAAGTGTCCCAAAAAAGAAAAGTCCAGGATCAGATGGCTTCACTGACAAATTGTACAAACCTACAAAGAGTAACTAACACCAGTTCTCCTCAATGTATTAGAAAAAGGGAAGAACAAGAAATTATACTTAACTCATTCTGTGAGGTCAGCATTACCCTGATAACCAAACTAGGCAAGGTTACAGCAATAAAAGATAGCTACAGACCAATATCCTAATGAACATAGACACAAAAGTCCATCAGTACATAATAAAGACAATAGACATGATCAAATAGATTTATTCCAGAAGAGGAAGGACAGTTCAACATATGCAAAACAATAAACATAATATATCATTTAAACATAATGTAGGACAGAAACCATATGGTCATCTCAATACATGCAGAAAAGTTATTTGACAAAATTCAACATTTTGCTTTGATACACTCTCAACAAACTAGGCATAGAAGAAACATACCTCAATATAATAAATGCTATATATGACCCAACAGCAAGTAGCATAATTCTGAACAGAGAGAAGCTTTTCTCTAAGAAGTGGAACAAGACAAGGATGCCCACTTTCACCACACCTATTCAACATAGTACTGGAAATCCTAGCCAAAACAATCAATCTAGAGAAGGAAATAAAAGGCATCCAATTTGGAAAAAAAAAGGAAGTGAAAATGTCATGTCATCTTTGATGACATGATTTTATATTTAGAAAAAACTAATTACTTCAACAAGAAACTCTTATATATGATTTTTAAAAATTTAGTTAAGTTGCAGGATAAAAAATCAACATAAAAAAATTAGTAGTGTTTCTAAACACCAATAATGAACTACCAGAGAAAGAAATCAAGAAAGCCATGTCATTTACAATATGTACAAAAAATTCCAAATAATTATAACCAAGGTGGTGAAAGATCTCTAAAATGAAATCTACAAAACACTGATGAAAGAAATTGAAGAAGAGACAAACAAATGGAACGACATCCTATGCTCATTGATGGAAAGAATTAACATCATTAAAATGACCATACTACCCAAAGCAATCTACACATTCCATGCAATCTCTATCAAATTACCAATGTCATTTTTTCACAGATATAACAAAAATGATCCTAAAATGTCTATGGAACAAAAGAAGAGCCTGAATACCCAAAGCAATCTTGAGCAAAAATAACAAAGCTGGAGGCATCATACTACCTGACTTCAAAATATATTACAAGTCTAGGTAACAAAAACATCAAGGCATTGGTATGAACACAAAAACATAAACCAGTGGAACAGAAAACAGAATACAGATATAAATCCACATATTTCCAGACAGTTGAATTTTGACAAAGACAACAAGAATATACATTGGGGAAAGGACACCCTGTACAATAAACAATGCTGAAAAAAGTGGATAACCATATGCAGAAAAATAAACGTGGACCCTTTTCTTTTATTATATACAAAAAGTAATCCAAGATTGATTAAAGACTTAAACATGAAACCTGAAACTATAAAACTACCAGAAGGAAACACTTCAGGACATTGGTTTAGGCAAAGATTTTATGGCCATGAACTCGAAAGCACAGGCAACAAAAACCAAAGTAGACTAATGGGACTCTATTAAACTAAAAAGCTTCTATACAAATAAAGTAAATAAACAACACAGTAAAGAGACAACCTGTGAAATGATAGAAATTTTTACAAACTATTCATCTGACATGGGACTAATATTCAGAATATATAAGGAACTCAAACAACTAAACAGTATGAAAAATAAATAAATAATCTCATTAAAATGTGAGTAAAACACATGAATAGACATTTATAAAAAGACATACAAACAGCCAACAGGTATATAAAAAATGCTCAACATTACTAATCACCAGAGAAATGCAAATCAAGACCACAGTGAGAGATCACGTTACCCCAATCATAATGGCTATTATTGAAAAGACAATAACATAGATTGGCAGAATGTGGGAAACAGGAAACTCATGTTCTGTTTGTGAGAATGTAAGTTAGTACAGCCACTATGGAAAACAATATGGAAAGTTTTCAAAAAACTGAAAATAGAACTATCATATTATTCAGCATTCCCACTACTGATATTTATCCAAAGGAAAAACAATCAGCATATCAAAAACATACCTGCATCCTCATTTCATTACAGCACTATTCACAATAGGCAAGCTATGAATCAATCTAAGTATCCATTGGCAGATGAATATATAAAGAAAATGTGGTATATACACAGGATGAAATACTATTCAGCAGTGAAAAACAATGGAATCATGTCATTTAAAGCAACATGGAAGGAAATGGGGGTCATTTTGTTAAGTGTAATAATACAAGTATGGAAAGACAACTATTCTAACTCACAATGTAGGAGCTACAATAGTTGATCTCATGGAAGGAGACAGTAGACATATAGATTCCAGAGACTGGAAAGGGTATATAGGTGGAGGTAATGAAGAGAGGTGGGTTATTGTGTACAAACATACAGTTAGATAAAAGAAATAAGTTCCACAGCAGAGTAGAGTGACTATAGTTAGGAACAATGTATTATATGTTTCACAGTAGCTACAACAGAGAACTTGAAATGTTCCCAATATATAAAAATGATAAGTACTTGAGTTAATGGATATCCCAAATACCCTGCTCATTTCACATTTTATGCAGATAACAAAATATTACATATATTTATACATATGTACAAATGTTATGTATCAATAAAAATAAGTCATGCTTTATTTAATTTTCTTCCCAACAAAAGTGTTTCCAAATTTTCATTTCACTGTATCCTTCTCATCACTAGGAATATCACTAAAACATGTTACTAATTTGATTTAAAAGCACCATTTTATTATTTCAAAAATATATAATTCTTAGGTTGGGCATTTTATAAGTTTACAGGTCATCAAATTTAAAATTTTTTTTAAATTACAATAAATAAACACTGGCTCACATTTTTTACTTAAAGTAATTCCATTATTTAAGTTTTTAATTTTCTTTTAACATTAAGTAGTACAAGTGGTGTGTTGTAGAAAATAGGCTTAATAAATAGGGAATTGTTTCCCCATTTCATGTTTTTGTCAGGTTTGTCAAAGATCAGATGGTTGTAGATATGGGGCATTATTTCTGAGGGCTCTGTTCTGTTCCATTGGTCTATATCTCTGTTTTGATACCAGTACCATGCTGTTTTCCTTGCTGTAGCCTTGTAGTATAGTTTGAAGTCAGGTGGCGTGATGCCTCCAGCTTTGTTCTTTTGGCTTAGGATTGACTTGGCAATGTGGGCTCTTTTTTGGTTCCATATGAACTTTAAAGTAGTTTTTTCCAATTCTGTGAAGAAATTATTGGTAGCTTGATGGGGATGGCATTGAATCTATAAATTACCTTGGGCAGTATGGCCATTTTCATGATATTGATTCTTTCTACCCATGAGCATGGAATGTTCTTCCATTTGTTTGTATCCTCTTTTATTTCATTGAGCAGTGGTTTGTAGTTCTCCTTGAAGAGGTCCTTCACGCCCCTTGTAAGTCGGATTCCTAGGTATTTTATTCTCTTTGAAGCAATTGTGAATGGGAGTTCACTCATGATTTGGCTCTCTGTTTGTCTGTTATTGGTGTATAAGAAAGCTTGTGATTTTTGCACATTGATTTTGTACGCTGAGATTTTGCTGAAGTTGCCTACCAGCTTAAGGAAATTTTGGGCTGAGACAATGGGGTTTTCTAGATATACAATCATGTCATCTGCAAACAGGGACAATTTGACTTCCTCTTTTCCTAATTGAATACCTTTTAAAACTGGCTAGTCATATGTAGAAAGCTGAAACTGGATCCCTTCCTTACACCTTATACAAAAATTAATTCAAGATGGATTAAAGACTTAAATGTTAGACCTAAAACCATAAAAACCCTAGAAGAAAACCTAGGCAATACCATTCAGGACATAGGCATGGGCAAGGACTTCATGTCTAAAACACCAAAAGCAATGGCAACAGAAGCCAAAATTGACAAATGGGATCTAATTAAACTAAGGAGCTGCTGCACAGCAAGGGAAACTACCATCAGAGTGAACAGGCAACCTACAGAATGGGAGACAATTTTTGCAATCTACTCATCTGACAAAGGGCTAATATCCAGAATCTACAATGAACTCAAACAAATTTACAAGAAAACAAACAAACAAACCCATCAACAAGTGGGCATAGGATACGAACAGACACTTCTTAAAAGAAGATATTTATGCAGCCAAAAACACATGAAAAAATGCTCATCATCACTGGCCATCAGAGAAATGCAAATCAAACCACAATGAGATACCATCTCACACCAGTTAGAATGGCAATCATGAAAAAGTCAGGAAACAACAGGTGCTGGAGAGGATGTGGAGAAATAGGAACACTTTTACACTGTTGGTGGGACTGTAAACTAGTTCAACCATTGTGGAAGTCAGTGTGGCAATTCCTCAGAGATCTAGAACTAGAAATACCATTTGACCCAGCAATCCCATTACTGGGTATATACCCAAAGGATGATAAACCATGCTGCTATAAAGACACATACACACGCATGTTTATTGTGGCACTATTCACAATAGCAAAGACTTGTAACCAACCCAAATGTTCAACAATGATAGACTGGATTAAGAAAATGTGGCACATATACACCATGGAATACTATGCAGCCATAAAAAAGGATGAGTTCATGTCCTTTGTAGGGACATGGATGAAGCTGGAAACCATCATTCTCAGCAAACTATCGCAAGGACAAAAAAGCAAACACCGCATGTTCTCACTCATATGTGGGAATTGAACAATGAGAGCACATGGACACAGGAAAGGGAACATCACACACTGGGGCCTGCTGTGGGGTGGGGGGCGGGGGGAGGGATAGCATTAGGAGATATACCTAATGTTAAATGACGAGTTAATGGGTGCAGCACACCAACATGGCACATGTATACATATGTAACTAACCTGCACATTGTGCACATGTACCCTAAAACTGAAAGTATAATAAAAAAAGAAAATGGGCTTAATAATTGAATTATTATAGTTTTTAATACTTGTTGAGTGCTACAAATTTTAGGCATAATATTTAAACCAATTTTAAAGACAGCAAATCTGTAGTGAAGAAACTACGCAAATATACCATGGAACAAATAATTATCTCATTAAATGACTGAAGTTTTATGCCTTCAACATGATAGACTGTGATCTAAGCAGAAAAGCATACTTTAGAGTTTGAATTTTCTTATTCTCTATCTTCCGCCCATTCCTTCTTTCTGTTTATGTTCTTTAATCATATACAAAATAACCCATACCTTTTAGAATTATTTCTAATAATAAAAACGCTTAGTATCTACCACAACTTATGTGATGCTCTCCTTTTTTGCTCTGTTTCTTGTTCCTTTTATTTCCATAACTATGTTGCACCTGTCTTTTGACAGTAATTTGCGTTGCAGGAGGTAAGGGTCAATATTGGTTCCTTGTGCCAGACTACATATGGGGTGGATTTAGACATATTGTTATATGACAGAATTTTAAGAATATGTGTTAGAAAACAAGATGGCAGCTCTGATCTGTCACTGTCTGTCTTAGATTGGGCTGCTGTAACAGAGTGCTATAGACTGAGTGACTTATAAACAACTGAAAGTTATTTCTTACAGTCTTGGAGGTGGGAGGTCTGAGATCAGTGTACTGTCATGGTTGCGTTTTGGTGAGGGTCCTCTTCCTGGTTCACAGATTATTGCAGTGTTCTCAAATGTCAGAAAGATGGGTTGATGAGTGCAGCAAACCACCATGGGACGTGTATACCTCTGTGACAAACCTGTACCTTCTGCATGTGTATCCCAGAACTTAAAGTATAATTTGAAAAAAGAAAAGAAAGAAAGAAAGAGAGAGAGAAAGAAAGAAAAAGAAAGAAAGAAAGAGAAAGGAAAGAAAGAAAGAAAGAAGGAAAGAAAGAAAGAAAGAAAGAAAGAAAGAAAGAAAGAAAGAAAGAAAGAAAAGAAAGAAAGAAAGAGAAAGAGAGAAAGAAAGAAGGGGATGGGAGGGGAGGGGGCGGGGGAAGGGGAGGGAGGGGAAAGGAAGGGAAGGGAGAAAGTTGGAGAGCTCTTGGGATTATCTTTTATAAGGGAACTAATCACGTGCTTGGGGTCTTTACCATTATGACCTAAGTCACCCCACATAGTCTCTGTTTTGTAGTACCACCACATCAGAGGTTAGAATTTTGACATACAAATTTTGGGGAACACCAACATTGAGTCCAAAATACTGCCTCTGTGATATCTCAGAAATAATACTACCATGCAATGAGTAAACATACATAATTTTTGTATTACATTCCTTGACAATCCAGCTTGTGAGATGTTAATATCTCCATCGACAGGTGGAAGAAACTGTGAAACAGAAATGTTATCATGGCCAATGTCAAAAGGCTAAATGGGGTATCACAAAAAATCTTATGCTTTTTCACCTTAACATGTTACTTTACTTTTTTGTTGTAAGAAATTTTTTTCTATTTACTAATACAAAGAGGTACAAAGAAAAGAAAACTATAATTTTGTCATCAACACAACTTCTGTGGTTTAAAAATTCAATAGATACATGGTTACAAAATATATTCAAAACATCGTGTTGTACTTCATAAATATATACAATGAAAAAGAAAAAACAGAATTTAACAACAAAAACAAAAGTATTAGTACATTTTCTACTCTTTAATCCCATATTCAAAGGTAAACACAGCTGTTAAGAATTTCTCATATTTGTTTTCAGAAAAAATGCATATACCAGCATCTATCTTTATTTTCTTTTGTACCTGTAGTAATAGATTCATAATCTAAATATTATGTTTCAGATTGCTTGTTTCAATCTATATCTTGGAGCTTATTCCATGACAACACATATAAATTTACTCCATTTCATTGTATGCATATACCATATACTATTCAACTAATTATTAATAATATTTTTTGACCAGGCGTGGTGGCCCACACCTGTAATCCCAGCTACTCAGGAGGCTGAAGCAGGAGAATCACTTGAGCCCAGGAGGCGGGGGTTGCCGTGAGCTGAGATCATGCCACTGCACTCCAGCCTGGGTGACAGAGAGAGACTCTGCCTCAAAATAATAATAATTATTATATTTTTCATTTTCTTAGGATGATAAACAATTGCTACAATGACCATCTTTAAAAGTGTAACTTAGGGAGATTGAGTGATTGCATTCATATTTTACAGTGCTATCATTGAAATATCTTGTTTAAAGACAATTATCATTAAGAAAGTTTGTACTGGTTTATACTTTTATAATCAACAAAATCTTAAAATTATTCAACAACACTAGTAAAACTAGAATCACACTATCTTTTGATTTTAAAAATTATGACTGAATTTGAACATATTTTGGTACGTTCATTAGCTACTTACCTGACTTTTTGTTTAAACCATCCCTATGCTTTGACCATTTTAAACTGAAATTTTCATAATTTGATCTCTAATTTGTTAGCACAATTTTTACTTTATTTTGAGATAATCGAGATTTGTATGCTGTTAAATAATGTAGCAGGATGAATCGCAGACAAAACTCCTCAGACACCGGATTAAAGAAGGAAGAGGTTTTTTTATTCAGCCGGGAGCGTCTGCAGACTCGTGTCTTAAGAGCCGAGCTCCCCGAAAAAAAAATTCCTAGACCTTTTAAGGGCTTACAACTCTAAGGGGTCTACGTGAAAGAGTCATAATAGATCAAGTAAGCGTGAGGAACGTGACTGGGGGCTACATACACCAGCTAACACAACAAAAAGTTTTACAGTGCTTTCTCATACAATGTCTGGAATTTACAGATAACACCAGTAGTTTTGGTCAGGGGTTAATATTATTATTATTTTAACCACCAGGGCCAGGTGGTGGTGCCAAGGTCGTCTAGCTATTTATCTTACTTCTGTTTCTTTCCAACTTTTTGCTTTCTCCCTTTTCTCCTGTCTTATAAACTAGGGAAAAGGGGAGGTTGGGGAGAAACTGGGAAGGACAACAGGAGAAGTGGTGGTCTCATACCATAATAATACAAAAATTAATTCTATATACTCTTCACCCAGTTGCCCATATTAGTAGCTGTATAACTATAGCATGATGTACCAACCAGATTATGGACACTGATACAATCCAATGGCCTTAGTCAGATTTAGGCAGTTTTACATGCACTTATATATGTGTCTCCTATGCAACTTATCACATACATAGATTTGTGTGGCCAACACCACAATCACAATCCGGAAAAATCTGTCACCACAATATCCCTCATGTTCTCTTATAATGTCACACAATTCCCTCCCCAGTACTCACTCATCCCTAATCCCTGGAAACCACTAATCTGTTCTCTATTTCTATAATTGTGCCATTTAAATAATGTTATATAAATGGAATCATAAAGTATTTAGCCTTTGGGGTTTGGCTTTTTCCCCCAGCATAATTTCCTAGAGATTTACCCAAGTTGTTGCCTGTATCAATACTTTACTTTTATTGCTAATTAAGCAGTATTCAATGGTATGGATGTATCACAGTTTTTTTATCCATTCATTTGCTTTAGGACATCTAGGTTGTTTCTAATTTTTGGCTTTATTTAATGAATCTGGTATGAACATGTATGTAAAGATTTTCTCTTCTTCCTTTGTTGCAATACCTCTGACCAGGTATTGGGGAAGCTGAGGTTTGGCACCATTGCCTAGGGCAGGGTTGGTCTGTATTTTGCCTGAGAGGAATGATTTACCCTGTTAGTACCTGTGCCTGCTTTGTTATTTCAACTGTAGGTTGACATGCTCCAACAGCATTGTGGAATTGGCACACATCTACTCTGAGGTGACCAATGTTTTCAACTGTTGGATCTGCCCTACCCTTCCAGCAACACCCGTGGATGGCTTGCCCTGGCACATACATCCAGCTTCTGTGGAAAACTGAACATGGTTAGAGATTTGGAGTCCCATGGCCAACGTTTGGAATGTGATACAGCAAGCTTTCGATAGGGTACCAAACCTTCTCAGCTCCCCATGGTTCCTGTGGATCCTGTATCCATGCCAAAGTCACAGGGGAGCTCATAATAGGCCACACAGACAATATATATGTCCCCCAGAGGAGGGTTTCTTCCCTGGCCATTCCCCTACAAATGATCAATTGTGGAGGGCATATATTAAATACCCAAGGAGTGACATGTAAATAATACTGTAGGCCCTCCCCACAGGAGGCTATGATAGCCAGCTATTGGGAATGGGGGGATTGGAGGGTCCATGGCCAAAACCAGGTTTTTTGTTCTCCTGCCTTTAGTGGCATTGGGGCAGGCAACAACAGATTACCGTTCATCTCCAATACCTGGTCAGAGGAGGTCATCCTTGGCGAGTATCTAACTGGATGGGGGTGGCGACCCTGTGTGGCCTTACATTCAAGGTTTGGAGCAGCAGGATCAACCTTGAACTCCAGCCCTGCAAAGACAGGGAAGTAACATGCATGCATTACCTATTTTTCAGGAGTGCATTACATTGCTCAATTATACCAGCAGCTTGTAGGTTATATGGAACCTGGAACCTCCCCTTTATGTCCATCCATTGTGCCCACTGTTGAACCTACTGTCCAGTAAAATGTGTTTCCCTACCACTTTCAATGGTCAGAGACAACCATATAGGGCACACAAGTGTGGCAAGGCCCGAATGGTATGTTGTTGGTCTGCCATCCTACAAGGGTAGGCAAACAACAGACTTGTGGTTGTTTTTACAGCCATCAGCACATGTGTATGCCCCAGTGACCTTGGCAGACGCCCAATGTAGTCTATTTGCCATCTAGTCAAGGGCATCCGCCCTACCGTCACTTATTGTGTAACACCAGGCAGCTGTCTCTGTCTGGGGTTTGCCTGTGTGCATGCTGGACGCTTTTGGCAGGTCTCTCAGGTATCTTGCATGGCAAGAGTAGACCCCAGCATTTATTGACCTATTGCATTAGTTTACCCCCCTGCATGGCCAATTTTCTGTGCAGACATAGGGCTACATCTTGTGTAGGTGCTGACTCCAACTACTGAAACTTAGCCAAGGCATCTGCCTCATCATTGACAGGGGCAGCCAAGGGCACATGGTCTGAAACATAATAAATAGTTACATCTTTTTGGTGGCCCATTTCCCAATTTCCCATAGGTTTTACCAAATGGCCTGGCTCCAAATGCACCAACTAGCCAATTCAGTAACTTCCAGGTAGTTAACCGCAAGGTCAGGCCTCTATAAACTGCCCAGCTATCAGTGCAGATTACCATAGGTGTCTCCTCCTTGTTGATCACCATCCACACTGCCCTGAGTTCAGCCCATTGACTACTTTTTCCACACCTAGTGTTAAACCATATGATATCAGTACCAGGCTGGACCATGACAGTGGTCCAGGCAGCAGTAACATCCCAGCTGGACCCATTTGTATACCATGCTCCATCAGGAACGGGGGGGCAACGTTATTTAAATGGTGATGGTTCATGGTTTAAGAGTGGCTCAGGCTGACCCATGTCCTTATTTTGTATCAGGAGTACAGGTCCCAAGATTTCTTGTAATTCTGCTGCTAAGGGGGTCGTACTCAGGGTACTCCACTGCTCTAAGTAGGTGCCCCACTTTGCTAAGGTGGATGTCTCTGCCATCCCAGTCCAGGGTGTTGTTACCCATGAATGTACCCACCCTGCTATTGGGTAAGTCATCCTCACGATGACTGTAGCCCATCCTGTCACACTCTCACAAGCCTGAAGGGTGGCATATGCAGCTGCTAATTGCTTCTCTATTAATGAATACCAGAGCTCAGCTCCCTTCTAAAGTTGGGACCAAAAGCCTACCAGTGGTCTAAAGTGCTCCATTCACTGCCATAGGACCCAGTCAAAACCATCTGTGGTCTCATGCACATCGGGTTCAAATGAGCGTGCCGGATCATACGGTCTGTGCTTGCTGTATGGCCCACTTAGCTGCCAGAAAAGCCATATCAGCCTTATCCCAATGCCAGGTAGTTCCCTTTTTTGTCAATCAATACAATGGTTTTATCATCTGAGCCAAATAGGGCATGAATGTCCACCAATATCCCAATATGCTCACCTAAGTTTGTAGTTGCCTCATCATTGTGGGCTGATATGCCTCAATTTTATGACTGATGGCCTCTGGTATGGCCTTGGTCTTATTAATGGTGGAGGGTGTCCAGGTTCTTGGCATGTTGAACAAAGAATTGGACAAAATGCACAAACAAAGCAAGGAAGGAATGAAGGGTTTCACTGAAAAGGAAAGTACACTCCACAGTCTGGGAGTGGGCCTGAGCACAGGGGCTCAAAGGCCCTGTTACAGAAGTTTTGGGAGTTTAAATACCCCCTAGAGGATTCCACTGGTTACTTGGGGTACACCCTATGTAAATGGAGAGGATGAAGTAAACTTACAAAGTTATGTCATATGCCCTATGGAGAGGATATTTCCTGTTATAGCTGAAGTGTGAATTGGCCTTATGTTCCCTGCCTCCAGACCCTATTTTCCTGACTCATCTGACCCCTGAGAGATGTGATCCCTATAAATCTTTATGGGAGGCAGAGGGACTGGTGGTCTTTTTTCCCGTAACTGCTTCGTGCTGGATTGGGACACAATCCCTACCTATTGGGGATCTTGGAACTTTTGCCCCTTTCTGTCTAGTGGAGGCAGGGTAGCTTCTTGATGGCCGGGGTTGGGGGGGTGTTTCACCTGGAACTGGCTGGAACCTTTGTTGCATGATTACCTGAAGCTTGATAGCCTCTAGGTGACGGGAAATGGATTTGGTTAAAATATTTAATAGGAACTTCAGCGGGTTGATACCAATGCTGTTAGAAATGTTTATTACAGAGATATGTAGGAGAAAAAAACAAAACCTGGTCTGTTCTAGAATCTATGTGTTTTCTTAAAGTCTTAGCATGAGCGACTCCATTTTGCTTTAGTTTGGCTTGTTGAAGCCTAGTGTATGAGCTTAGTCCAAAACAATCGCTCCCCAGAATTTTGTTTAACAAATTTCCCTGTTTTGTTCAGGTTCTCACTTAGGTGAGATTGTGACCAAAATTTAGGGCCTTAGCGCCCTTTTCAGTTACCGTCATTTTGAGTTTTCACTCTCAGCACATTATTTATAGGTTATGGTGTCCTCATAGCTGTACATTTCTTTTAGCTCCTCTTATTCCAGTTCAAGAGAGACCATATGACATTCTAGAGATAGCTGCATGCAAACATTTAAAACCTTTAAGCGCATACAGCACACCAGGGAGACTACTATTATGACTATTGGGAGGATAATACTAAGAGTTTGGAGTATGCTTTTTACCCAAGATCCTCATAAACCAAACCTTCTAAAATTAAACAGATTAAAGAATGAGCTAGATAAAGAGTTTGCTCACCTAACTAAGCAGACTCTATTAGTCACCTACCACTGAATTCCTATAATTTTAATTTGATGTATATTTCCATAGGCT
The DNA here is from genome assembly GCF_000001405.40 of Homo sapiens. Lineage (NCBI taxonomy): Eukaryota > Metazoa > Chordata > Mammalia > Primates > Hominidae > Homo > Homo sapiens. Next base: position 82,365,403 of record NC_000023.11, read on the forward strand.
ACAAGTGCCAGCAGCTGCACAGGTACTTTTCTGTATATCCAATTCTATTATTTACCCTAACTTTTACAAGAGACTTTAAAGTCTGTTGTGTAACTGTAGCCTTTACAGTAGAATTTATCATGAGGGATACATACAGAACCTATCATGAGGGATACATTTTTTAACAATGCTTCTTTACTTTAAACCATGGAAAAAGGACCTACAAATGATGCCCTTTTAAAAAAGTGAAGGTGTTCTGGCAGTGTTCTGGCAATGTTCTTTTTAACCCATGATGTGGGTTAAGAGGAGTGAAACAATGCTTTGTTTTTGACTGATTTTGAGGCAACACATGTACCATTAAAGTTTTTGTTACATACATTGGGCCTTCATTTTTTATTTATCAAAGTATAAGTTTATCCATGTGTAAGGCTGGCTGCAAACCACTTTACAATTAAAAGTATACCCCCCAAGTGCACACAACAGACCCCTTTTCCACTTCTATTTTTTATGGAAGTATAAACAAGAAAAAAATTCAAAGATAAGAGTTTTTTGATAGTAAAAGTTTTAATCATCTGTGAACTTAGGAAAAGTTATTCACATCAAAGGTGCCATTTTCTTCTTGGGAGAAATTTCCCTGGTTAGCTTTATCTCAAGGTTTCCAATGGGTGCACAGTTCCAAAAGTGTGGAGGGATACTTCTCATTTGTGAGACCATGAATCCAAAGCCCAAGGTTTTTGAAGTTTTATTGTAGTGTGGATGACAAAGGCAGTCTTTCTCTCATGTTTCCAGAAGATTTAAAGCATAAAAAAGTTTCTTTACCTGGTGAAAACACACTGTGAGCATAATAATTTATTGTTATAACATCAGCCCTCTTGCATAGGAAAGCTTTTATACAACCAGATAACATGCACAGAAAATAAAAATTGAATGAAATCCCTTTATAAAATGTATAAATGACCCATCAGGTGACCAAAGGTACCTGAAGCTTTAATTGTTTTCCCAGGAATATGGGATTAAGCATTGGTTATAAACTATTTTAAACAATTTGTAAGTTACTATACCAATGTATTTAATTTGGATCATTTTATGTTTTCCATAATGAGTCATGAAATGCAGACCTTTTAATAATAAAACTTCAAGGACTCAGGAAGGACAAGGTGACCATCCTGGTTCTCCATGAGTCCATCCATGCTTAATTAAAATTATACTTATATCCTCTTGCATACCAGTTGTTTTTTCAAATTAGGTGCATAGCACTGAAAATAAAATTTGGTTATTTCTATGGTTTACAATAACATAACATAATAGCCATAATCATAATTGATAGCATATACTTAGACATTAGAATTTTAGAAATCCCATACAATTTTGGAACATATATTAGTATTATTCACAAAAATATAACCTAAAAATATTGAACATCATTTTGGCATTCTCATGTACCTAAACATGTTAAATAATCCTGTTTACCTCCTTTCTGGATGTTTTCAGATACCCTCTGATCCATCCAAAAAGCCAGGCATTAGGAAAGACAATTTTTAAACAAAAGTTTGATTTTGGATTTCCAGATTACCATAAATTATTTATTTTGCCAAAATGATGACTTCAGAAATTTTAAAGAAGTAAAAACCTTTAATAACCTTTTTGAATTTAATTAACGTGTTCACACGGACACCTCTTCTGCAAGATTAATTTTCACAATTTTTCCACCACTTCTTTGAACCTTCAGCTTTTTCCTATCTAATTTAAAAGAATTCTTTAACCCTAGGCAAAAATTTATATTTCCATTCCTTCTTATAACCTTTTATTAGAAAACACATTTTACTGTTTTTACATACCTTGCATGTAAATCTATTTTCAGTAGTTTTAATTACAAGTTATGATGGTAACTGCTAGCAATTTTTAGCTTTAAGATAAAATTTGGTAAGTTGGTTTAATTGTGTGCTAACTGCAGCCAAGGTTTGCCTTCTTAGTTAAGGGTGTGGTTAGTTCCATATGTCCCCAGGCCTTACCTACTGTGTAGACTGCAAGTCAAATAGTTTTTAAAACCCCAAAAGCAGTTTGTTAACTTAAAACATTCAGCAAACCTTGCATCTGACCTACACAGTTTGGTTCACCTATTTACATTTTAATGACACCTGCATTTTACCAATAATTTTTAAAACCATCTTTATTTTCCAGAGATTACTTAAGTCACATGAACTAAATAAAAGGCATTACATTTTTCACTTTTCTGACAAAATATTTGATTTAAGCTCCTGTTATTATTAAATCAATTAATTTAAAACTTCACAGAAGAGATTAACCAGTTTGCACAGAGAGAAAGAGGCCAGAGACTGACTGGTAAGAAATTCTTACCCTTTTGCAGGCATGCCAGGTTTCTGGGTTCTCTCTCCTTGAGTGGCCCTGGCAACCCTGCTTGACTGTATACAAACACGTTGCTGCGAATTGAGAATATTCACATATACTTTACAAATTTTGGAGAAATTAGGCAGAGAGACAGAAATATGACTCAAATTCTGTTTGAAAGAGTACACTCAACACAGTTAAAGTAATAGGAAGCTTAAAATCCAAAAGCTTAGTTTAAGGATAAAAAGCTGGTGTGCTCCATTAATTCCTGCAGGCCCGACAAAGGTAGCTTAGGAATTCGAGATAAATTGAACGAATGATGACTTGCTGGAAATGCATAGAAACACATAACTAAAGAAAAGCCTTCCACTAAGAACTAAAAAAAATTATGGTTTTATATATATGCACACACAAGCAAAGCCACAGGAGAATAAACAGCAAACAAATGAAAACTAGAGACAAAAACAAATATGCAGGAAACCAATCCTAAATTTTCCTACTCAATTTACCTACAGGTTACAGTGTTACCTGGGGCCCTGAAAAAACCCACATAATGAATAATTCATTCCTGCTACACAATTTAATATCCTTAAATTCACTAATATCAGCATACACCCTGTGCAATTAAGAAATTCACTTTACGCACATGACCAATAAGTACTTCAGCACTATCCATGCAAAACAGTAAACACTGTGAAGCAATGCAAGCATGTATGTGAAATTCGGCTTTACACTAAATCAAGCTTCATGCTTAGCTATATTAAAAAAAGAATTTCCAAACTGCCGATGTATTTTTACAATACTTTTTATTTTACTTTAATCAAGACTAAGAGTTTTAACTATGAAAATGTTAATTAGCCAAATATCTCCAATTCTCTATCAGGTTTTAAAGAATATTTTATTATTTAAACTTTTTCCTCATTTTTCCCCTACTTAATCGTTCCTTACTACATTGTTTCATAAATAACCTTTGTAAATGTGTATTTTGAACTAACTTTTAGATAACTTCTGAATTATACAAAATTATTATTATTTTTATTTACTAATAACATAACCCTTATGGCATATTTTGGATACGGAATTACATGTTAACTAAAAATTTTATCCTTAGCAACTTAAAACTTCAGTGAAACCCTAAAAAGCAAGAAATTCTTAACTATTAAAGATGGGTATTTATAGATAAGAACAATTCCACAATTTTAGAAACACTTTTCTCCATATTACAACCCTTTCTTAATTGAAAGTGTCCCTGTTATCAAATGAGTGTTAAAAATAACTTTAAGATTTTAATTTACACAAAAAGTTTACCTAAAACTTTTATCCCATTCACTGTACTTAATTTTTACTTTAACAAAGGAGACAGGAGACATAAATCAACATATGTAAAATGAACACTGGTTTGTTCAGGAAAGGCAGGGCAACTCAAGGCAGGGAGGGTCTTGGGGATTTTCCAATCATAGGTGGGAGACAAATGGTTGCATTCTTGTGAGTTTCTGATTAGCCTTTCCAAAGGAAGCAATCACTTATGCATTTATTTCAGTGAGACTTTGAATAGAATGGGAGGCAGACTGACCCTAAGCAGCTCCCAGCTTGAATTAACACTGACATTTGAAAATACCTAGGAAAGACAATGATAAAATACAGAAAAAATTTATGCTGACAATTCTGAAGGCATTTCTATTTTTATTCCGCCAAAAATTTTAAAGCTAGCTTGTTTAATAACGTTATACTTTAACTCATGTGAACTTGAAAATTGTTTAGACTTTTTACTTCATTTGTGAGCACTCTTTCACTTATAAGTTAATTTAGTAGATGAACATATGACAATAAGTATACATAAGAATAAACATATCTAGACATGTATACACACACATAAATGAAGACCCAATAGCTTGGAACTTTAGCCATGAGATCCAATACAATCTTGCCGGTTTTACTTTGCCCAGTAGATAATCTAAGGAAGGCTATGAACTAAAATTTTCGGGTAAAGCAGTCTCCATGGAAGTTGATTTTTAAAGGCTAAACCTCCTCAAGGAGCACTGGGGTCAAACATTGCCAAAAGAGGGTGTTACACGTTAACCAGGCCGCCTTCTTAGAACAACAACACAAAAGCCTGGATACATGCAACACCATCCAACTTTCTGCTTAGAGAGCAAACTTCAGATTCTAAACAATTTTGGGGCCAAGCAGCATTGTAACTGTGAGAAAAGATTCCAAGGACGGTTTAATACTAGACCTCGGAACCTCTGCCAAGGGGAGAGTGAGGACAGTTTGGACAGTTTGAGGTCCACAGAACTCATGGAGTGTCCTCCTGTGGGGTTCAATCTTAGAGTTCCAGACGTCTCTGGCTTAGGTGGGTGCACCACAGGCAGGTTTTCCCTCCAAAGCATACTATGAGATTTGTAAGAATAAATAGCCATGAAATGTAATGAGAACTGGATGCTGGGTGAGCCTTTTCGTTCCTCAGCCAGTTGAGTACAAAAAGGGAAGACTTTAGCGTATGAAAATAAGGTTTCAGTTGCCTGAAACAGGTGTGAGTTTGCTCCGAGATGCACTGCATGTAAGGATCAGGGACCACAGGTAAAAAAGATTTTTTTAAATCCTTCCTCCTTCAGGGCAGGGGACTATTTTCATTCGTTCCTAGGCCTTCAGGCAATACCGGGTAGTGGCACCAGTCAATTGCCCTTAATTTCCAATGAACTACTAGGAAACAGCCACTGAAAGACTGAAAAAGAAAGAAAAAAAGAAACACAAAACTTGAAAAAGACCCTGGTCCCTTAAGCGAATGGGGTGGTGGCAGTCAGGCTTCTCCACACGGAAACCTTTTAGTTTCACTGGCCGTGGCGAGAAACCTGAAGTTTCTTCCATATTTAGGCACTGCCCACGAAGGGTCCCAAGTTGGAAAAGGGGAGAGAGAGGGAGAGGGGGAGGGGGCTTCTATGGAGCAGAAAGGAAAGGGAGAAAAATGAATCTTAAACTTTGGGCTTACCTCTTTCTCCTGGCTAGCTCACCAAAATATGTTAGCAGTGTAGGATGTCCAGGTTCTTGGCATCTTGAACAAAGAATTGGACAAAATGCACAAGCAAACACAGCAAGGAAAGAATGAAGGGTTTTATTGAAAATGAAAGTACACTCCACAGTGTGGGAGTGGGCCTGAGCATAGGGGATCAAAGACCCTGTTACAGAATTTTTGGGAGTTTGAATACCCCCTAGAGGATTTCACTGGTTACTTGGGGTACACCCTATGTAAATGGAGAGTATCAATACAGTTACAAAGTTATTTAGATTGTTAGCCCTAAGGAGAGGATATTTCCTGTCAGAGCTGAAGCATGAATTGTCCTTACGTTCCCTGCTTTCAGACCCTATTTTCCTGCCTCAGTCTTACCTGACCAGTTAACTCCCAAGAATTTGGCAGACAATCCAGGCCTTTGGACCTTGGATTCATTGACAGCCCATCACATGTTGCCAAATGTTGTCGTAAGAGGGGTGCAGTCACCTCTAAATCTGCAAGAGAATTAGAGGTTAACATAATGTCATCAATATAATGGAATAGGTGGACCTCCTTTGGACATTTCCAAGCAGCTAAATCTGTGGCAGCAAGACCATGACATATGGTGGGGCTATGCATGTAGCCCTGCGGCAGCATTGTGAAAGTTCATTGTCACCCTTCCCATGTGAAGGCAAACTGTTCCTGGCTCTCTGGAGCAATGTCAGTTGAGAATAATGCACTGGCCAAGTCCACCACATAGTGGTACTGTCCCAATTACTTCATCAAGCAGTCCATCAAATCCATGATAGATAGTACAGCTGCATGTAAAGGGAGTGTTACTTTATTTGGTTCTTAATAATCCACCATCATTTGCCAAGTTCCATCAGGCTTTCTGACTGAACATACCAGAAAATTGTAGGGATTTTGGGTGCTGTGCACTATCTGCACCTCCTCTAACTTTTTAATAGTCTCAATTATCTCCATATCTGGCAAGTGGTATTGATGGATGGAAGTAACCCATTGGGGTTGTGGCAGGAACAGAGGCTTGTGATGCATATGTCCACGCAGTACCAGCTCAACCACATGTACTTGGAGACTGAATTCTCCAGTTGTGGATTGTAAAGTCAAGCTATGTAAAATAGCCAACCCCAGAATCTATTCAGGTATGGGAGAGACATAAACAGTGTATACAATGTTTATACATTTGGGGAGCCAAGAGGCTGATACCAAGGTGCAAAGATACAGGTTTCATGTTCACTGACTGGCTTCCATAGCCATCTATGTATGCAGCCTTGCCCAGAAATTTATCCGGGTTACCATAGATGAGGTAATCTGTGCCAGTGTCTACCAGTGCCAGCACCTGTTGTACATTGGTGGGGGACCAGTGGATTGCCAATTCTACACATGGCCTCCAGTCATCTGGGTCCCCTCAAGCTGGGCACCTCAGCCAGTTCCCTAATCAAACATAAAATGCTCTATACCGCTGCCTGTCTGCAAGTAGTCCTTGACCTACAGCCTCCGGGCAGGACTGGATCGAGCAACAGCAACCTGCCCCCTCTTGGGCATTTTCCATAATTGCTGCTCCAGGGACAATTGCCTCCACAAAGTTAACAGCACTTCATTGGGTTGCTTATCAATTTTCTCTCAGTCAACCTCAGCTAAAATCAAATCAATCCACATCTGCGTGTGAGTCACCTAATGGGGCCCCTTGCTGTCCTGTGAGGTGGCGGCCCTGCCGAAGGGGTGCCTTTTCCTTTTTTATGGTATGGACTCCCCAGTCCTGCTGACAGCTTTCTGCTTCCCTGAGGACCGCAATGGCAGTAGTCACCTCATGTATATGGTGCCCCACATATGACTGAGGACAGCGGCCAGGGAGCCGAAGGCACTTGGGGCCTCATTGCCCAACACAAGTTCCCTTATGTGGGTGATAAAACGTTCATCATCTGGCCCTCAGGTATTCAGATCAGACATAGCCTGCCACATTCTGATCTCCCGAATTACTTGCACCAAATCTGTATATGACTGCCATTTACTCACAGTTTCTGGTATTTCTCCAGCATTGTTCTATACCGTTTGTATGGCTGCCATTAGCCATTCAATTAGGGTGTGGTTGCCTTGCCCCTGTGCTAACCACCTGTTCACCTGCAATCACAGGTGGAGGGAGGTGTTCATAATGGAGGCCAACTTTTCCATTTCTGAGGTGGAGCATATAATTCTGTCAGCTTCCTCATCCCAAAGGTGAAGCATCCAGCTGAGTAGGGGTTCCCCCAAGCACCACCAACACTATTTACCTAATTTCCACAACTCAGTTGGGGTATAAGCATTGTATGACATGTGATCCATAACAGTTGGAGCTTCCTGAGCCTGCCCCTGGAACCCCAAGTGCTGTTCATGCTCTACTTTCTGACAGACCACTGGGTGAGCCCGCAATAGGCGTTCTTACTTCTTGGTATCAGTCCAAGTAGGGGTCTTTGACTGGGATGGTCAGCCCAGGCCTGCACTAATGGCCTGGCTAGTTCTCATTCCAAGCTATGTATCTGGGACTCCAGGCACTCTGCTTTCACCTGGAGGTCCCTTATTGTGCTGCATCCCCCAGGGACTGAGCATGCACTTCCTGTAGCACAGTCAAAAATGCCCATCCAACTCTGCCAGCAAAGGCACTCTCCTACTTGGTGCTCTGTGCTTCCAGGTGCTTCAGCATCTTCTCCATGCTTATGGGGGACCCATCCACTGCCGCCCATGTTTCCACAGGGGCCCATCCTAGAAACAAGGCTGCCACTGGGTACCACAACCCATGCTGGGGCCACATGGCTGAACCAGGATCACTGGGGGCCAAGATCTCACTAACCTTGGGATCCTGCCATGTATGCCAATTGTCAGGTTCCAACCCAAGCTGGGGTCCAAGGGGAGTTGGTGGATGGGTGGCAGATAGCTGAAAGAACACTCAAGGGACCATAGGCAGATGGGACATGGCTTTATTCTTCTCTCCCTCTTCTATGGAGTCAGAAGTGCAGTTATATTTTTTACAGACAGCAGTGGCTCAAAACCAGGTATGAGCTCACACAAACAGGTTACATCAAAATGGCTCCATAAATGTGATCACATAATGCATGGGGTTGTGTGCCTGCACTTTCAACCTACTGTGTCATGCTGTACCGAATGTCTGCCTCGGCCCACTGCTGGCTGAAGCACAGCCATTTTTCTTACAACCTAGATTAGTAAATCCAGTGAAAATATCCTTCAACCATGAAGTACAAATAAAGACATTATGAGACAAATAAAATCTGAGGAATTTAACTAATACCAGACCCATCCTACAAGAAATGCTAAAGGGAGTACTTCAATCAGAAAGAAAAATACAGTGATGAGCAGCAACACATTACCTGAAGGTCCAAAACTCACTGGTAATAGTAAGTACACACAAAATCACAGAATATTATAACACTGTAACTGTAATGTGTAAACTACTCTTAAGTAAAAAGATTAAATGATGAACCAATCAAAAATAATAACTACAACAACTTTTCAAGACATAGTACAACAATATGTAAATAGAAACAACAAAAAGTAAAAAAGCTGGGGGACAAATATATAGTATAGACTTTTTATTAGTTTTTGGTTGTTAATTTGTTTAATTATCCAAGCAGTATTAAGTTGTTATCAGCTTAAGATAATCAATTATAAGATGTAATTTGTAAGCCTCATTATACATTGAATACACAAAAAATAAGAACAAATAAATTATACCATCAGATAAATTTGCCTTCACTAATGCAAAGACAGGAAGGAAGGAAAGAAAGAAAAGAAGACCGCAAAACAACCAGAAAATAACAAAATTGCTGGAATAAGTACTTACTTATCAATAATAACATTGAATGTAAATGCACTAAATTCTCCAATCAAAATACATAGAGTGGATGAATCAATACAAAAATGCGATACAATGATTTGTTGCCTACAAGAAACACATTTCACCTTTAAAGACACACATGGACTACAAATAAAAAGATGGAAAGTGGTATTTCATGCCAATGAAGACCAAAAAAGAGAAGGAGTAGCTATACTTATATTAGACAAAATAGATTTCAACACAAAAACTGCAAGAATAGATAAATAAGCTGATTATATAATAATAAAGTTGTCAATTCAGTAAAAGGATATACTATTTGTAAATATATATGCACCCGATACTGGAAAACCAAGATATATATTGTAAAGTGAGTCAAGCAATGCCCAAGAATGCTCCAGATTATCATATGTGCATACAAAAAATAAGAACATTTCTGTTTACATTTATTTTATGTAAAATGATAGGAAAGTAATTAATATACACATTTACCTCACTGAACTTTACCAAGACCTTTGTCAGAGAAAAAAAAAATGTTACTTACCTCACTTAAGTATGCTGTTGGAAGAGTAGGAGTTTCCAAATATAAATGAGTTTTCAGTAGCACCAACTCAATTTCATTTTTCTTTTCAGCAGATTATATTACTGATTACTCATGCCCACTTTCCTGTAGATTTACATATTATTTTATGTAGTTTCAGGTAAACAAACTCTTACAAAATGTATGGGTAGATTACAAAGATTCCTACAAAGAAATTAGAAAGAAATTATTACAAAGAATTAGAATCCTACAAATAATTAGAAATAATATAAATATTGTAAAGACACATTAACAGCGAGGAAGCAGGAAAATTGGCAATACTATTACTATTAAGACTTTATCATCAAACCATATTAAAAGGCAAAATATAATGACTCTTAATCAGATCTTGGAAGAAATTGCTTCCAAAATAGGAATTATTGAAAAGGCTATTTGACACAGGGGTTTAAATCTGCTGTCATTAATGAGGAATTACTCCTAGACTGTATTTCGTATTGCAATACCAGATAATCATAGTATTTAGCCATACTAATTAACAAGATATTTTCAAAATAAGCCTTTCAATCATGACATTAACACTTCACATTTTTCCAGCAAATTTTAAAGTAATGTGATATTCCAGCATTTCACAAAGTTTCTCACTGCACATAATGCTTTTTAGAAGTTTCTTCTAAAGTTTCTATCATTAATTGTAAAACAGAAGAAGTCATATGTCATTGAGGAAACACACAAAAGTCCAGATAAAAGCAAATTTGTGTTTTTTATTGATATATATTTGTACATATCTGTGGAACACTTGGGATAATTAGATATATGCATACAATGTGTAAAAATTAAATCAGTATACTTAGGATATATATTACAATCAAACACTTATTATTTCTTTATGCTGGGAACATTTCAAACCTTCTATACTAGCTGTTTTAAAGTATAATAGAATATTGTTAACTTTACTGTGCTATTAAACACTAGAACTTATTCCTTCAGAGTGTGTTTGTACCCATTAAAAAAATACTCTTTGTCTCCCCTGATGCCTTTTCTAACCTCTAGTAACCATCATTGTACTCTCTATCTCCATGGGGTCAATTTGTTTAGCTCTCACATATGAGTGAGAATATGCAATGTTTGTCTTCCATGCCTTATTTCAATTAACGTAATGAACTTTCATTACATTTTTGTTGCTAATTTCATTTATTTTGATTGAAGAATAGTATTTTATTGTTTATATATACCATATTTTTATGTATACATTGCTTAAGGGACACTTAGATTGACTCCATATCTTGGCTATTGTGAATAGTATTGCAATAAACATAGGGGTGCAGGTATATCTTTAAACTACTGATTTGCCTTTCATTCGATAAATAAACAGTAAAGGGGTTACTAGATCTAATGGCAATTCTATTTTTAGTTTTGTTTTTTTTTTTGGAAAATATCATACTGTTTTCCATAATGGCTGTACTAGTTTGCATTCTCATCAACAATGTAGAAGAGTCCCTTTTTCTACTTATCATTGTCAGCATGTGTTATCTTTTGATTTTTAACAGTAACCATTCTAACTGGAGTGAGATAATACTTCACTGTGATATTGATTGGCTTTTCCCTGAAGATTAGCAATATTTAACATTGTTTCATAAACCTGTTGGTTGATTGTGTGTCTTCTTTTGAAAAATATCTATTCAGATCATTTGCCCATTTTTAATGGGGTTATTTATTCTCGACTATTAAGTTGTTTGAGTTCCTGTGTATTCAATTTATTCACTTGTTGGATGAATTATCCTGGAATCCCTGGGATAAATCCCACTTCATTATGATGTATTATGTTTTTGGTGTTGCATTAGTCTGTTCTTGCATTGCTATAAAGAACTACCAGATACCTGGTAATTTATAAGAAAAAGAGGTTTAATTGACTTACATTTACCAAGGCTGTACAGGAAACATGGCTGGGGAGGCCTTAGGAAACTTACAATCATGAAGGAAAGCAAATAGGGAAGCTGGCATATCTTACATGGTTGGAGCAGGAGGAAGGGACGAAGGTGCCACACACTTTTAAACAACCAGATATCAAGAAAACTCACTCACTATCACGAGAACAGAAAGTGGGGAGTCCACCTCTATGATTCAGTCACCTCCCACCAGGCTACTCCTTCAACATTGGGGATTATAACTTAAGATTTGAGCAAGGACAAAAATTCAAACCATATCATTCCACCCCTGGCCCCTCCCAAATCTCATGTCATTTTCACATTGCAAAATACAATCAACCCATCTTAACAGTCTCCCAAGTCTCAACTAATTTCAGCATTAACTCAAAATTACACAATCCAAAATCTCATCTGAGACAAGGCAAGTCCCCTCTGCCTATTAGCCTGTAATGTGAAGATACAATGAGGGCACAGGCCAAATATTCCCATTCCAAAAGGAAGAAATTGGCCAAAAGAAATGGACTACAGCCCCTGTGCAAGTTTGAAACCCAGCAGAGCAGACATTCAGTATTAAAGCTCCAAAATCATCTTCTTTGACTCCATGTCTCACATCCAGGCCACATCGATGCAAGTGTGGGCTCCCAAGGCCTTGTATATCTCCGCATCTGTGGCTCTGCAGGGTAGAGCCTCCATGGCTGCTTTCATGGGCTGGTGTTGAGTGCCTGTGACTTTTCTAGGCACATGGTGCAAGTGGTCAGTTCACACCATTCTGGGATTTGGAGGATGGTGGTCCTCTTCTCTCAAATCTACTAGGCAGTGCCCAAGTGGGGACTCTGTGTAGGGGCTCCAAACTCACATTTCCCCTCTGCATTGCCCCAGTAGGGGTTCTCCATGAGGGCTTCACCCCTGCAGCAGACTTCTGCCTGGACATGTAGGCATCCTCTGACATCTAGATAAAGGCTCCCAAGCCTCAACTCTTGCTTTCTGCATACCCTCAGGCTTAAAATCACATGGAAGTAACCAAGGCTTAAAACTTGCACCCTCTGGAACAGTGGCCTACCATGTATCTGGGATGCTTTTAGTCATGGCTGGACCTAGAGTGACCGTGATGCAGTATGCCATGTCCCAAGGCTGCACTGAGAAATGGGGCCTTGAGACTGGCCCATGGGATCATTCTTCCTTCCTAGACCTTCAGGCCTGTGATGGGAGGGGCTGCCACAAAGATCTGAAATGCCTTTGAGACATTTTCCATATTGTCTTAGCTATTAACATTCCATTCCTCTTTACTTATGCAAATTTCTGCACCCAGCTTGAATTCCTTCTCAGAAAATGGATTTTTTCTTTTCTACCACATGATTGGGGTGCAAATTATCTAAACTTTCATGCTCTTTTTTCCTTTTAAATATAAGTTTCAGTTTTATGTAATCTCATTCCTCACACATATGACCATATGATGTTACAAGCAACTGGCCAGCTCTTGAATGCTTTACTGCTTGGATGTTTTTTCTGCCAGATACCCTAAATCATCACTCTCAAGTTCAAAGTTCCACAGATCCCTAGAGCTGGGGCACAATGCTCCCAGTATTTTTGCTATAGCATAGCAAGAGTGACCTTTACTCCAGTTCCCAATAAGTTTCTCATCTCAATCTGAGACCTCCTCAGCCTGGACTTCATTGTCCATATCACTGTCAACATTTTGGTCACAACAATTTAACAAGTGTCTAGGAAGTTCCAAGCTTTCCCTCATCTTCATGTCTTCTTCTGTGCCCTCCACACTCTTCCAACCTCTGCCCATTACTGAGTTTCAAAGTTGCTTCTAAATGTTTAGATATCTTTATAGCAATACCCTACTCTTAGATACTAATTTTCCATATTAGTTTATTCTCACATTGCTATAAACAACTAACTGAGATTGGGTAATTTATAAAGAAAGAGATTTAATTGATGCACAATTCTGCACACTGTATAGAAAACATAACAGGGGAGGCCTCAGAAAACTTACAACCGTAGTGGATAGCAAAGGGGGAGCTGGCATGTCTTACGTGGCCGGAGCAGGTGGAAGAGAGAGAGGGGAGGTTCCACACACTTTTAAACAACCAGATCTTGTAAGAACTCACTCACTATCACTAGAACAGCAAAAGGGAAGTCTGCCTACATGATCCAATCACCTTTCACCAGACCCCTCTGCTAACATTGGGAATTACAATTTGACATGATATTTCGTTGGGGACACACAGTCAAACCATATCATGTATGTTTTTGGATCTGATTTCCTAGTATTTCTTTGAGAATTTTTGCTTCTATGTTCATTAGGGATATTAGTCTGTTTTTTTGTTGTTGTTTTCTTGTCTTGTTTTGGTATCAGGACAATGCTGGCCTTTAGAATGTGTTAAGAATAACTCCTTATTTAATTTTTTGAAGTAGTTTGAGAATAATTTGTGCTAATTTTACTGTATAAATTTTGTAAAATTCAGCAGTGAAGCCTTTTATTCCTGAGTTAGATTATTGGTAGACTTTTTATTACTGGTTGAATATCATTACCTGTTATTGGTCTGTTCGGGTTTTCTATTTCTTCCTGTTTGTGTCCAGAAATGTATCCATTTTCAGTAGGTTTTAAAATTTTTTAGTATATAGTTTTTCATAATTATTTATGATTATCCTACGTATTTCTGTGGCATTGTTTGTACTTTTGTTTTTGTTGTTGTTGTTCCTCTTTATATTTATGTCTTTTTTTTGGTTATCTAGCTTGTGACTTATAAATTGTGCTACTCGTTTTAAAAAACTAATTTTTTATTTCACTGATCTTTTGGATCTTTTGTATTGTTTCTATTCTTTTTTTAATTTTATTTTAGCATTTGTTTGGCTCGTGCTTTTCTATTTCCTTGAAGTGCATTATTAGCTTCCTGAAATTTGTCTACATATTTAGACCTAGGCATTTATTGCTATAAACCTCCCCACAAGGTTGTTTTTTCTATGTCTCAAAAATTTTTGCGTGTTGCATTTTTATTTTTATTTGTTTCAATATTGTTTTTTAAAACGTTTCTTCTTAATTTCTCAATGGCTTCTTGTTCAGAAGAATGTTGCTTAATTTCCATGTATTTCTATGCAACATTCCTCTTGTTCATAATTTCTACTTTTATTCCAGTGTGTTCTGAGAAGATACTTAATATGGTGTTAATTTTTTAAAAAGTTATTGATATTTTTGTAGCCTGGAATATAGTGTAACCTGAAGAATGTCCCAAATGCAGATGCATAGAATGTATGTTATTTCCACTTATTTTAAAGTGCGATTAAGCCTAATGTTTCTTTATTGATTTTCTGTCTAAATGACATGTTCAGTGCTGAGAGTGGGGTGGGGTGTGTGGTGAAGTAGCCAACTATTATTGTAATAGAGTCTATGTCCCTCTTTAGTTATAATAATATTTGTGGTGTATATCTGGGTGCTCTGGTGTAGGGTGCAGACGTATTCAGGATTGTTATCTCCTATTGCTGAGTTTATCCCTTTATCATGATCTTATTACCTTCTTTGTCTCTTTTTTTACAGTTTTTACTCCAAGTCTATTTTGTCTAAGTATAACTATTTCTGCTTACTTTTGATTTCCACTTCTATGAAATGCTTTTCTCCATCCCTTGACTTTTAGTCTGTATGTGTTTTTACAGGTGAAGTGAGTTTGTTGTAAGCATTATATCATCGAGGCCTTTTTTTACAACCATTCATCCAGTCTATATCATTTAAGCGGTGAGTTTAATCTGTTTAAGTTCAAGTTTATTACTGATAGGTGAAAACTTATTCTGAACATTTTGTTGCTGCTTTCTAGTTCTTTTTTATATCATTTGTTAGTTTTTTCTCTCTTGTTGTTTATCATTGTGGTTTGATGATTTTCTGTACTGGTAAATTTTGATTTCTTTTCATTTGTGTGTTTTCTCTTTAAGTTTTAAACTTTTATACATTTACATGATTGTAGCTATCATCCTCTCACTTTTAAATATAAGATTCCTTTAAGCATTTCTTGTAGGGCCAGGCTAGTGATTATAACGTTCCTCAACTTTTCTTGTCTGGGAAATATTTTATTTATCCTTCATTTTTGAAGGATGCCTTTAATGGGTAAGTATTCTTGCCTAGCAGTTTTTTTCTCTCACAGTATTTTGAATATATCATCCTGTTCTTTTGTCTGTAAGGTTTCTACTGCAAGGTTTACTGCTAGTCTATAGAATTTTCTTTACATATAACTTGATGCTTTTATTTTGCTGCTTTTATATTTCTCTCTTTATTTTGACTTTTGACAGTTTGACTGTTATTATGTGCACTGGATAAGATTTTGGGGAGGTTGAAACAATTTGGGGATCTTTTAATGTTTTGTATTTGGATGGCTATATGCCTTGCATGACTTGGGAAATTTTCATCTATTATTATGCTAAATAGATTTTCTATGCCTTTGCCCATTTATTTTCTTGTGTTATTTCAAAAGACCTGCCTTAGTGTTTAGAAATATTCTTTTTCTGCTTGAATCTCTTGTTCTATCTTTTAATTTTATTCACTGAATTATTTAGTTCTAGGATTTCTGATTTATACTTTTTTACACTTATATATCTTTGTTAAATTTCTTATTCAGACTATAAACGGTTTTCCTGATTTTTTGTATTGTTCATCTGTTTTTCTATATATTTTACTGAGCTCCTTTAATAGTATTGTTTTGAATTATTTTCAGGCATTTTATAGATTGTCTTTCCAGTGAAATCTCTTGCTGGAGAATTATTATGTTTCTTTGGAGATGTTATGTTTCCTTGCGTTCTCATATGTCTTGTGTCATTAAATTGATATCTGCACATCTGGTATAATATTTGCTTCTTCCAAGTTTATGGATTGCCTTTTATAGGGAAATATTTTTTGTATAGATGTAGTATAGTGTTGGTTGGGTAGAGTGCTGTGGCTTTGATGCACGGGGTGCAGTAGTTTAGTCTCTGTATGATTTGTTTTATTGTGATAAATGTCAGTAGCGTTCAGAAGTTCCTCAGTGGCTGAGGCTGCAATTGTTAGTGGGGGCTGTGGTGAGGCTTTTCTGGGAATGGGGATGGCCAGGTTGGCCTGTCCTCAGGAACCAGTGATGGTCGTGGTGGCTTATTATATCAATCATTGGGCCCCTGGAAAGTGTACAGAATCACTGATGCTACAGGTCTAGGTGGGTGAATATTTGGACTTCCAGAAAACTTTCTTGAGAGCCAGCCATGGGCTGGGAAGATGGGCAAGTTAGTTCTTGGGCCACGGAGTGGCGTACATAGCACAGGTGATTGCAGTAGCAATAGCTAACGAACCCTCATGCCCCCAAGCATCATGCATAGGTGCCAGCGGTGGTATTGGCTGCCTGGGCAGGCCAGCCCCAGGGCCTAGACCCCAGGTGACATATGCAGGTGGTGGCGACAGTGAGGTGAACACACCTTTAGGCCCCTAAAATGGGTGCATGGAAGCCACCAGTGGTGGGCTGGGCATGTCAGTCACCAGATTCCTGGACAATATACATGAGTGCCAGCAGTTGTGGATAGGATGGACCTCTTTTCATACTCACCAGTAGTGTGTGTGTGTGAGTGACAGTGGCCAGGATGAGTTAATTCCGTAGTCCCTGGATATTATTCTGGGATACCACTGGCTATCGTGGTGGGTGGGATCTAAGCCTTTCCTCAGGATCCCTGATGGCAACCATGGGCTCCTATAGTGGAAGAAAGGATAGACCAATCCCCAGGCCACTGAGTGGTGCTCACAGGTGCTACCGGTGGAAGCTGCCAGCAAGGTGGGCCTGTTCTCTGCCCCATCCAATTGTGCATGTGGGCACCGGCTGCAGTTGTGTAAGGCAGGTCAATCATTAACCCTTCAGAAAGCATGTTTAAGCACTGGCAAGAGTGGCCATTGGTGGGTAGGCTTGTATTCAGGCCACAGGATAGCACCTAGGTGGTTTGCTCCCCAGGCTCCCTGAAGATGTGTGCAGGTGTGCAGTGGCCTTCCTGTTGGAAAAGATAGCGCTGTTAGTTATCAGTGACAGCATCCCTGTCAGGTGGCTCTAAGACTCTGGGGAGTTCATGCTTTGACTCCCTTTGCTTTGAGGGCAGCTTTCCAGTGTGTCACACCATCCATTCCTTGTGAAGTAGAACACTGCATGGGCTAGAATTCTGGTGATCTGGCCATACTGCTGCATTCAACCAATGTTGAAACTTTGCAGCTTTCCAGGTGCCATGAGGGGATGTAAATGGGGTTTTAGCATTGTGAAGACGCAACAGCTTTTGGGCCCCAGGGCAGCATCTATTCTTAGTAGGGGCTGGGCTCTCAAAATGGCACCATCTTGTGGGGTATGTGACAGCCAGTGCAAACTCCCTCTCAGAAACAATGCCAAAAGATTCCGGGCAGCTCCCTATAGTAGTCTCAGAGCCCATTAGTTTCAGGGGTTTCTTTCACAGCTAGAATTACAGTAGTCAGCTGTGGGGATGTGGGAATGTGGAAATGTCAATAGCTGGGGAGCTCTCACTTTCCTTTTATCTGAAATAAGCAGTTTCTCCTGGCTTTAAGCAAATTCTGGCTGGGATGGCTGCTTCATTTTCCTCTCTTTACATGCCTCAGAGGCTCCCTCTCACTTCCCTGCTGACTTTCAGTGTTGTCTGTTAGGTTTTCTATTTGATGTTTGATTATCTATTTGCTGTGTTGGTCTTTCTTCATGGAGGAGGTGAGTGCCAGTCACCTCTAGTAAGCCATATTTAGAACAAGATCTTAAATTAAGGATTTTTTAAACCATAAACAAATACAATTAAATTAAAATTTGTTCTAAAATAGTGTTTACTTTGTCTTTATCTCATCCTCCTACACATTTTACCTTATTCTAGGAGAGGACATGTAAACCATTTATACATAAATAAACATAAATATATAGCTGTCCTTTAAATTATAGCAAGAAATGTTTTTGAGGAAAGTTATATAATCCCAGAAGAGCTTGACATATTCTCTTTTAGAAAAACAATAACTGTTGAAAACAATTTTAAATATTTCTCAATCATTTGTTGTCTCTAGAAATTACCCTAAAAGCATACGACAAAGGGAGAAATCAGTACTCTGTGTGGGTGGGATTTATTCTGGGCTAAGCAGAGAAGGGCTGGGCCTGAGACAAGGCCCCTTTAGGATCTGTGGTAGAATGGTGACTGCAAGCCTGTCCTGGGGGTTCAGATGGAAAGTATCCTAGAAGATCTCTGTGCCTTCAAGATAGCTCCCAGAAACAGGAAGAAGGGCTGCAGCCAAGGTAGGACCCCTACAAGATACACTGCAAATCATGGAAGTCAGCAAGTGTGTTTCAGTGACTCTGATGGGCGAGTCTCTCAACAGTTTTCTGCAAAGTCAGAATAACTCCCTAGCTATAGCAGAGAGGGGCTGGAACTAAGATTGGTCTCCTTCAGGATCTGCTGAGGGAGGGAGGCCAGTATGCCTGTCCCAGTGGCACAAATGGGCAAGTGTCCCTCTGGGTCCTCGTGTGAGCAGTACTAAGCCAGAACCACAGCTGTGGCAGGGTGGAGCCAAGTTAAGAGTCACTTCTGGGTGCACTGCCAAGACCCACTTGCATAGTCAGGCGAACCTGTCTGCCGAGGCTCTATTGTTTCTGATTCTTTCTGGACTCTTTGGCAGATATATTTGTAGCAGGCTCAAGGCTAAACAAGATTGTATCCAAGACCTTAAGTGCATGAAGATGTTTCCTGGTCTAAACCTGGGAGCATAATAAGCAAACCTGCCAAATGGGTGTAGGTGTGCACTCTCAAAACAACCCTCTTAGATGTTGGACTACATCAGGGTTTTACAACCTCCTACCTGAATCTCAAGACTCTGACAAAGAGACTTTTGTCCATGGATAGGTGCAGAATTTTTGTTGTAGGGGGTATACAAGCAGGTGAAGTTCTATTCCATCATCTTACTGATGTCCTCCACATATCTTTCAAACCCAAGGAGAAACTACCATTGATATTCATATTTTTGGGAAAGTAAACTTATAGGTTGGTTGGCTCTGTTTTTGACTTTGATCAATTTCTTTAGCATCTCTGACGTTTAGTTTCCTCATCTGAAAATTTGTTCTACATTGGACTCAATCTGTCATATTCCTTTCAGCTCTCACATTTCATGCATCTGATTCTCTATTGTCACCTGAAGTTTTATTCTATGGACCATAACAAACAAAGCTTGTCCAAGAATTCTCTTTATATGGTTCTCCAGGGTTACAACTGGTATGAACAACAGAGAAGGCAGGAAAAAGTATAGCAAACTCAACACCAACTACACTGCCAGCACCCATTTTCCCATGTTTCATCATTAAAAAAATAAAAGATGCTGCAGGAAAAAGTGGCTTTTTAAAAAATGTTGAGGACACCTGCTTGGAAGTTTAGTTTATTCTCCATGTAGGATATTCTTAGGACATGGTTTAAAAGTGAATATATTCCAACTTTCTCTATTATATCTTACATGTCTTCCTACTTACACATTCTGTACTTCTTTGTTTAGTTTTGGGTTCTTCATCTTCTGTACTATTTAAATACCTTGCTTAATATTTACATGACTAAGATTTCATGTTCATTTTTTCTTTGTGTAGAGCAATAGTAAAACCATGAAATCTTTTCACTCAGGTTTGCTGATACAAAATGTTATTTTATCCACTGAAGGAAAGGTTACTTTTCCATTTATATGAAAATATTCTGAAGGAAGAAGGGTTACATTGACCTTTATAAAAAGCCAAATTTACGATTATAGATGTCCTATTTTCTCTTAAAATGCACTTACTGATGAATTATGACATAATTCCTTACTCAATAGCTACTTTTCTTGCTTTAAAATTTTTTAAAGCAACAAATATCAATCAGTTTTATTCATAGAAAACCTACAATGTGCTCCAAACTGAAGGAATTAAAAATTTCAGGTATATTATGAAAGATGAGAAGTTTCAAAATTAAGATGTGAAAATATATTTTGACAAAGTTAATTCTGCCAATGAAGAATTTAAAAGTTCAAATCATATGGTAGTATTTTTCTTTTTCTACAAAAATTGTGTTGTCCCAATTATCTCACAGATTCTCAGATAAATTATTAGAAAGGGAAAAAGACGTTACATGAGGAAAGGCAGTTTATGCTATTGGTAAAACAAAATAGCTCCATTTTATTTATGGCCAGCCCCACTTGATGTTTTCAATTCATTTTTCTTATTGCTTCTTTGCAAAACATTAAAAAAATTATCTTTTATATCTTTTTGGCACAGAAATAATCTCAGTGTTCTACATATTATAAAGTGCTCCTTATGCAGGTCTGTATTCATATTTTATATAAATTGTCATGATCTTACTTTGCAAGTTCAAATGTACAATATTCTGTAATAGCTCACAATGTGACTCCAGCACTATAGTAAACAGAATACAAAATGTTAAATATAATAAGTTTTAAAACTTGTTTTATAGTGCCTCTCTTTCACACACATGCTCTCATGCTCTCTCTCTCTGAAGTATATTTTAAGTGTCTAAACCAGACCAATTATAGTTAGAAGCTACTTTATCTAATGGGAAAATAACTAAAGCAGCTCTCAAAATCTCAAAAGTTTACAATGTGCATTCAAGCAG
Source organism: Homo sapiens (assembly GCF_000001405.40). Classification (NCBI taxonomy): domain Eukaryota; kingdom Metazoa; phylum Chordata; class Mammalia; order Primates; family Hominidae; genus Homo; species Homo sapiens. The sequence continues at coordinate 82,386,657 of NC_000023.11, forward strand.
CAAGTAAATTTGATTATTCTCAAGCAAACTTTCAGAAGTGTTCCAGCACATTTAAAGCAGCAAATAGATTGATGTCTCTTCATACTGACCAACATACTACTTTAAAAATACATTTAAAAGAATAGATGAATAATCAAAATTACAGTGGCTATGTCCAAAACAGAAATTCAATCATGGATTGTATAATACAACTGATAAGAAGCTCTTTTCTTTTCTGTATCTACAAATGCCTTTGAAATGTCTAAATCTTACACCAAGACGATTAACCAATAAATAGGAAAGGGAAACAAGTGTCTGATAAAAGGCAGGAATGATGTTCAAAATGATAGAGGAAACAAAACGTAGAATCTTATTTTTGTAGAGGACATAGATATCTTTAGAGAATTCACTTGTCATTTTAATCCTCTTCTAAAGGGATACAAATAAATCAAAGCAGAATATTTTTCTTAAGTACGTTACTATCCCCTTTTCATAATCAGTTCTAGGTATTTGGTATGATTTGGTTTTTTTTCTACCATCATAATAGCCATCTAAAAGAGTTTGTGGTACCTAAAAAAATTTCAAAACCACTTTGTGTCATTAGAAAATCAGAAACCCACTGATTATTGTATGTTACATTTCTACCTTGCAAATTTACTAAATTTTTCTATGAATTCTAACGGTTTTTGATGGAGTTTATAAAGTTTTATCTGTATAAGATTGAGATTGTGTTATTTGCAAACAGGACAGTTTGACTTCCCTCATTCTGATTTGAGTGCCTTTTTTGTTTCTCTTGCCTAATTGCTCTGGGTGGTACTTCTAGTACTATGTTGAATGGAAGTACTGAAAGTACTGTAGCTAATAAATGGGTACAATTATGTATCATTGAAAACAAAATAAAGCTGAAAATAAAATAAAATCAAATCAGAAACTGTTGTGAGATTATGTTAAATGTTAATATTGGATCTTGCCCACTTATGATTGGGATCATTTGACCTTTTTATGTAGTAAGGAATAGTATTGCCTTTGGCAAGGAAAGGAGGCCTTTACTTGTAGATACTAGATCAATAAGAATATTATAATTCTACGTGGTGAAAGATTTTCTGGGTGTGAGTAGCAGAGGGAGCAATTAAATTGAACAATCAAATGGGGGAGTTTGATGGTTGAATGAGTTATTTTATACCAGGACACCCACTTTTGCATAAATGTTATTGTAAACAGTTATTACAGGATTGCACTGTAAACATAATTAATTATCTCAAGGTGTTAGCTAAGGGTATTTGCCCCCAACAGATTCTATGCCACTGACTCCATAGAAAATGATTTAGCATAAAGAGATCAATAGCAGACATTAGTCATATTTTTATTGTGGGATAAATGGCTGGGTAAACTTAACAATATTTTATTTGGCAAACACAAAAATCTTTATTTAAAAGAAGAAAAAAATAAGATGCTCATTTTGAATTACCAGACTTAACACAGGGTTTCAGAGGAAGCACATGAATTAGAGATCTGACTCACCAATTAAAAAAAAAACCCAATAATCTGTCAGTTAAAACACTTTGGAAATTGATGTGAGTTCAATACCAGCTAGTACAACTTCTAAGAAAGATCATTTAATTTGTAATATGTAAGATTCATTTTAAAAATAGTGTTTGAGGGGTGGCTGGCAAGATGGCTGAATAGGAACAGCTCTGGTCTACAGTTCCCAGAGAGATCAATGTAGATGGCAGGTGATTTCTGCATTTCCAACTGAGGTACCTGACTCATCTCATTGGGACTGGTTAGACAGTGGGTACAGCCCACTGAGGATGAGCCAAAGCAGGGTGAGCTGTCACCTAATGCAGGAAGCACAAGGCGAACTCCTTCCCCAAGCCAGACTGCCTCTCTAGATTCCTCCTCATCCGGCAAGCCATCTCTGAAAGAAAGGCAGCAGCCTCAGTCAGGGGCTTATAGATAAAACTCCCATCTCCCTGGGACAGAGCACCTGGGGGATAGGGTGGCTGTGAGAGAAGCTTCAGCAGACTTAAACATTCCTGTAGCCAGCTCTGAAGAGAGCAATGGATCTCCCAGCACAGCGCTCAAGGTCTGCTAAGGGACAGACTGACTCCTTAAGTGGGTCCCTGACCCCCATGCCTCCTGACTGGGAGACACCTCCCAGCAGGGGTCAACAGTCACTTCATACAAGACAGCTCTGGCTGGCATCTGGTGCATGGCCCTCTGGGACGAAGCTTCCAGAGGAAGAAACAGGAAGCAATCTTTGCTGTTCTGCAGCCTACGCTGGTGATACCCAGGGAAACAGGGACTGGAGTGGGCCTCCAGCAAACTCCAGAAGACCTGCAGCAGAGGGCCCTGACTGTTAGAAGGAAAACTAACAAGCAGAAAGGAATAGCAACAACATCAACAAAAAGGACATCCACACCAAAACTCTATCCGAAGGTCACCAGCATCAAAGATCAAAGGTAAATAAATCCACGAACATGAGGAAAAACCAGTGCAAAAAGTCTGCAAATTCCAAAAACCAGAAAGCTTCTTCTCCTCCCCAAGCATCACAACTCCTCACCCACAAAGGAACAAAACTGGATGGAGAATGAGTTTGACAAATTGACAGAAGTAGGCTTCAGAAGATGCAAAATAAAAAACTCTTCTGTGCTAAAGGAGCATGTTCTAACCCAATGCAAGGAAGCTAAGAACATTGAAAAAAGGTTAGAGGAATTACTAATGAGAATACTTAGTTTAGAGAAGAACATAAATGTCCTGATGGAGTTGAAAAACACAGCACGAGAACTTCATGAAGCATACACAAGTATCAATAGCCAAATTGATCAAGCAGAAGAAAGGATATCAGAGATTGAAGATCAACTTAATAAAATAAAGTGTGAAGACATGATTAGACAAAAAAGAATGAAAAGAAACTAACAAAGTCTCCAAGAAATATGGGGTTATGTGAAAAGACCAAATCTACATTTGGTTGGTGTATCTGAAAGTGATGGAGCGAGTGGAACCAAGTTGGAAAACACCCTTCAGGATATTATCCAAGAGAACCTCCTCAACCTAGCAAGACAGGCCAACGTTAAAATTCAGGAAATACAGAGAACTCCACAAAGTTATTCCTTGAGAAGAGCAATCCCAAGACACATAATCGTCAGATTCACCAAGGTTGAAATGAAGGAAAAAATGGCAAGAGGAGCAAGAGAGAAAGGTCGGGTTACCCACACAGGGAAGCCCATCAGACTAATGGTGGATCTCTCTGCAGAAACCCTACAAACCAGAAGAGAGTGGGGGCCAATATTCAACATTATTAAAGAAAAGAATTTTGAATTCTAATTTTCATATCTAGCCAAATTAAGCTTCATAAGCAAAGGAGAAATAAAATCCTTTACAGACAAGCAAATGCTGAGAGATTTTGTCACCATCAGGCCTGCCTTAAAAGAGCTCCTGAAGGAAGCAATAAACATGGAAAGGAACAAGCCGTACTAGCCACTGCAAAAACAGCAATTTGTAAAGACCATCGACACTGTGAAGAAACTGCATCAACTAATGGGCAAAATAACCAGCTAGCATCATAATGACAGGATCAAATTCACACATAACAATATTAACCTTAAATGTAAATGGACTAAATGCCCCAGGTAAAAGACACAGACTGGCAAATTGGATAAAGAGTTAAAACCCATCAGTGTGCTGTATTCAGGAGACCCATCTCACCTGCAAAGACACACATAGGCTCAAAATAAAGGAATGGAGGAATATTTACCAGGCAAATGGAAAGCAAAAAAAAGCAGGGGTTGCAATCCTAGTCTCTGGCAAAACAGACTTTAAACCAACAAAGATCAAAAAAGACAAAGAAGGGCATTACATAATGGTAAAGGGATCAATGCAAAAAGAAGAGCTAACTATCCTTAATATATATGCACCCAACACAGGAGCACCCAGATTCATAAAGCAAGTTCTCGGAGACCTACAAAGAGACTTAGACTCCCACACAATAATTGTCGGAGACTTTAACACCCCACTGTCAACATTAGACAGATTAACAAGACAGAAAATTAACAAGGATATCCAGGACTTGAGCTCAGCTCATTACCAAGAAGACCTAATAGACCTCTACAGAACTCTCCACCCCAAATCAACAAAATATACATTCTTCTCAACAACACATGGCACTTATTCTAAAATTGACCACATAATTAAAAGTAAAACACTCCTCAGCAAATGCAAAAGAATAGAAATTCTAACAGTCTCTCAGACCACAGTGCAATCAAATTAGAATTCAGGATTAAGAAGCTCACTCAAAACCACACAGCTACATGGAAACTGAACAACCTGCTCCTGAATGACTGCTGGCTAAATAATTAAATTAAGGCAGAAATAAAAAAGTTCTTTGAAACCAATGAGAACAAACACACAATGTACCAGAAACTCTGGGACACAGCTAAAGCAGTGTTTAGAGGGAAATTAATTGCACTAAATGCCCACAGGAGAAAGGAGGAAAGATCTAAAATCGACACCCTAACATCACAATTCAAAGAACTAGAAAAGCAAGAGCAAACAAATTCAAAAGCTAGCAGAAGACAAGAAATAACTAAGATCAGAGCAGAACTGAAGGAGATAGAGACACAAAAAACCCTTCAAAAAAAATCAATGAATCCAGGAGCTGGTTTTTTGAAAAGATTAACAAATTAGATAGACTTCTAGCCAGGCTAATAAAGAAGAAAAGAGAGAAGAATGAAATAGACACAATAAAAATGAAAAAGGGGAGATCACCACCACTTATCCCACAGATATACAAAATACCATCAGAGAATACTATAAACACGTCTAGGCAAATAAACTAGAAAATCTAGAAGAAATGGATAAATTCCTGGACACATACACCCTCCCAACTCTACACCAGAAGGAAGTCAAATCCCTGAATAGAAAAATAACAAATTCTGAAATCGAGGCAGTCATTAATAGCCTACCAACCAAAAACATCCCAGGACCAGATAGATTCACAGCCGAATTCTCCCAGAGGTACAAAGAGCAGCTGGTACCGTTCCTTCTGAAACCATTTCAAACAATAGAAAAACAAGCACTCCTCCCTAACTCATTTTATGAGGCCAGCATCATCCTGATACCAAAACCTGCCAGAGACACAACAAAAAAAAAGAATTTCAGGCCAACAGAAATTTCAGCTCATCCTCATGAACACTGGTGCAAATATCCTCAATAAAATACTTGTAAACCAAATCCAGCAGCACATCAAAAACTTATCCACCATGATCAAGTTGGCTTCATCCCTGAGATGCAAGAGTGGTTCAACATATGCAAATCAATAAACATAATGCATCACATAAACAGAACCAATGACAAAAACCATATGACTGTCTCAATAGATGCAGAAAAGACTTCGTTAAAATTCAACAACCCTTCATGCTAAAAACTCTCAATAAACTAGGTATTGATGGAACATAACTCAAAATAATACTAGCTATTCATGACAAACCTACAGAAAATATCATACTGAATGGGCAAAAGCTGGAAGCATTCCCTTTGAAAATCGGCACAAGGCAAAGATGCCCTCTCTCACCATCCCTATTCAACATAGTATTGGAAGTTCTGGCCAGGAAAATCAGGCTAGACAAAGAAATAAAGACTATTCAAATAAGAAGAGAGGAAATCAAATTGTCTCTGTTTGCAGATGATATGATTGTATATTTAGAAAACCCCATTGTCTCAGCCCAAAATCTCCTTAAGCTGATAAGCAACTTCAGCAAAGTCTCAGGATAAAAAATCAATGTGCAAAAGTCACAAGCATTCCTACACACCAATAATAGACAGAGAGCCAAATCATAAGTGAGCTCCCATTTACAATTGCTACAAAGAGAATAAAATATCTAGAAATACAACTTAGAAGGGAAGTGAAGGACCTTTTCTAGGAGAACTACAAACCACTGCTCAAGGAAATAAGAGAGGACACAAACAAATGGAAAAATATTTCATGCTCATGGATAGGAAGAATCAATATTGTGAAAATGGCCATCCTGCCCAAAGTAATTTGTAGATTCAATGCTATCACCATCAAGCTACCATTGACTTTCTTCACAGAATTAGAAAAAACTATTTTTAATTTCATATGGAGCCAAAAAAAGAGCTCGTGTAGCCAAGACAATTCTAAGCAAAAAGAACAAAGCTGGAGGCATCATGCTACCTGACTTCAAACTATACTACAAGGCTACAGTAACCAAAAGAGCATGGTACTGGTATCAAAACTGATATATAGACCAATGGAATGGAACAGAGGTCTCAGAAATAACACCACACATCTACCACCATCTGATCTTTGACAAACCTGACCAAAACAAGCAATGGGGAAATGATTCCCTATTTAATAAATGGTGTTGGGGAAACTCGCTAGCTTTATGCTGAAAACTGAAACTGGACCCCTTGCTTACATGTTATACAATAATTAACTCAAGATGGATTAAAGACTTAAACATAAGACCTAAAACCATAAAAACCCTAGAAGAATACCTAGGCAATACCATTCAGTGCATAGGCATGGGCAAAGACTTCATGACTAAAACACCAAAAGCAAGGGGAACAAAAGCCAAAATTGACAAATGGGGTCTAATTAAACTAAAGAGCATCTGCACAGCAAAACAAACTATCATCAGAGTGAACAGGCAACCTACAGAAAGGGAGAAAATTTTTGCAACCTATCCATCTGACAAAGGTCTAATATCCAGAACCTAAAAGAAACTTAAACAAATTTACAAGAAAACACACACACACACACACATCAAAAAGTGGGTGAAGGATATGAACAGACACTTCTCAAAAGAAAACATTTGAATGTGTCCCAGAGATTCTGGTATGTTGTGTCTTTGTTCTCGTTGGTTTCAAAGAACATCTTTATTTCTGCCTTCATTTCGTTATGTACCCAGTAGTCATTCAGGAGAAGGTTGTACAGTTTCCATGTAGTTGAGCGGTTTTGAGTGAGATTCTTAATCCTGAGTTCTAGTTTGATTGCACTGTGGTCTGAGAGATAGTTTGTTATAATTTCTGTTCTTTTACTTTTGCTGAGGAGAGCTTTACTTCCAAGTATGTGGTCAGTTTTGGAATAGGTGTGCTGTGGTGCTGAAAAAAATGTACATTCTGTTGATTTGGGGTGGAGAGTTCTGTAGATGTCTATTAGGTCTGCTTGGTGCAGAGCTGAGTTCAATTCCTGGGTATCCTTGTTAACTTTCTGTCTTGTTGATCTGTCTAATGTTGACAGTGGGGTGTTAAAGTCTCCCAATATTAATGTGTGGGAGTCTAAGTCTCTTTGTAGGTCACTCAGGACTTGCTTTATGAATCTGGATGCTCCTGTATTGGGTGCATATATACTTAGGATAGTTAGCTCTTCTTGTTGAATTGATCCCTTTACCATTAAGTAATGGCCTTCTTTGTCTCTTTTGATCTTTGTTGGTTTAAAGTCTGTTTTATCAGAGACTAGGATTGCAACCCCTGCCTTTTTTTGTTTTCCATTTGCTTGGTAGATCCTCCTCCATCCTTTTATTTTGAGCCTATGTGTGTCTCTGCACGTGAGATGGGTTTCCTGAATACAGCACACTGATGGGTCTTGACTTGTTATCCAATTTGCCAGTCTGTGTCTTTTAATTGGAGCATTTAGTCCATTTACATTTAAAGTTAATATTGTTATGTGTGAGTTTGATCCTGTCATTATGATGTTAGCTGGTTATTTTGCTCGTTAGTTGATCCAGTTTCTTCCTAGTCTTGATGGTCTTTACATTTTGGCATGATTTTGCAGCAGTTGGTACCAGTTGTTCCTTTCCCTGTTTAGTGCTTCCTTCAGGAGCTCTTTTAGGGCAGGCCTGGTGGTGACAAAATCTCTCAGCATTTGCTCGTCTGTAAAGGATTTTATTTCTCCTTCACTTATGAAGCTTAGTTTCGCTGGATATGAAATTCTGGCTTGAAAATTCTTTTCTTTAAGAATGTTGAATATTGGCCCCCACTCTCTTCTGGCTTGTAGAGTTTTTGCGGAGAGATCTGCTGTTAGTCTGATAGGCTTCCCTTTGAGGTTAACCCGACTTTTCTCTCTGGCTGCCTTTAACATTTTTTTCTTCATTTCAACTTTGGTGAATCTGACAATTATGTGTCTTGGTGTTGCTCTTCTCAAGGAGTATCTTTGTGGCATTCTCTGTATTTCCTGAATCTGAATGTTGGCCTGCCTTGCTAGATTGGGGAAGTTCTCCTGGATAATATCCTGCAGAGTGTTTTCCAACTTGGTTCCATTCTCCCCGTCACTTTCAGGTACACCAATCAGATGTAGATTTGGTCTTTTCACATAGTCCCATATATCTTGGAGGCTTTGCTCATTTCTTTTTATTCTTTTTTCTCTAAACTTCCCTTCTCGCTTCATTTCATTCATTTCATCTTCCATCGCTGATACCATTTCTTCCAGTTGATCGCATCAGCTCCTGAGGCTTCTGCATTCTTCACGTAGTTCTCGAGCCTTGGTTTTCAGCTCCATCAGCTTCTTTAAGCACTTCTCTGTATTGGTTATTCTAGTTATACGTTCTTCTAAATTTTTTTCAAAGTTTTCAACTTCTTTGCCTTTGGTTTGAATGTCCTTCCATAGCTCGGAAGGACTATAAATCATGCTGCTATAAAGACACATGCACACGTATGTTTATTGCGGCATTATTCACAATAGCAAAGACTTGGAACCAACCCAAATGTCCAACGATGATAGACTGGATTAAGAAAATGTGGCACATATACACCATGGAATACTATGCAGCCATAAAAAATGATGAGTTCATGTCCTTTGTAGGGACATGGATGAAGCTGGAAACCATCATTCTCAGTAAACGATCACAAGAACAAGAAACCAAACACCACATATTCTCACTCATAGGTGGGAATTGAACAATGAGAACATATGGACACAGGAAGGGGAACATCACACTCTGGGGACTGTTGTTGGGTGGGGGGAGGGGGGAGGGATAGCATTGGTAGATATACCTAATGCTAGATGACGAATTAGTGGGTGCAGCGCACCAGCATGGCACATGTATACATATGTAACTAACCTGCACATTGTGCACATGTACCCTAAAACTTAAAGTATAATAATAATAAAAAAAAACTAAGAGATAAAAAAAGAAAGGAATTACTGGGTCATACAGTAATTCCATAATTAACATTTTGAGGAGCTGGCAAACAGTTTCTGAAATGGCTGCACCATTTTATATTTCACTAGCTATGGATGAGTGTTCTCATTTCTTTTTATTCCATTTTTTTTTTTTTGATGGAGTCTCGCTCTGTCACCCAGGCTGGAGTGCAGTGGCGCCATCTCAGCTTGCTGCAAGCTCTGCCTCCTGGGTTCACGCCATTCTCCTGCCTCAGCCTCCCGAGTAGCTGGGACTACAGGAGCCCGCCACAGCGCACGGTGAGAAGGGGTTTCACCATGGTCTCGATCTCCTGACCTCGTGATCCACCCGCCTCGGCCTCACAAAGTGCTGGGATTACAGGCGTGAGCACCTCGCCCGGCCTCCATTGTTTTAATTATAACCATTCTAGTGAATATGCATTGGTATCTCATGGTAGTTTTGATTTGTATTTATTTCACTAACAGTTAATGATGCTAAGTATCTGTCATGTCCTTATTGTCTGTTTCGATACCTTCTTTGAAGAAATGCCTATTCAAATACTTTGTTCATTTTTAAGTTGGATTACTTGTATTTTCATTACCAAATGTAAGAGTTTTTAAATGTATTTTGTAAATAGTCTCCTTCTCAAATATATGATTCTCAAATATTAAAAAAAAAAGAAAAGAAAACATTTATTCAGCCAACAAACATTTTTAAAAAAGCTCATTATCACTGGTCCTTAGAGAAATACAAATCAAAAACATAATAAGATACCATCTCACTCCAGTTAGAATGGCAATCATTAAAAAGTCAGGAAGCAACAGATGCTGGAGAGGATGTGGACAAATAGGAATGATTTTATACTGTTGGTGGGAGTGTAAATTCAACCATTGTGGAAGACAGTGTGGTGATTCCTCAAGGAGCTAGAACCAGAAATACCATTTGACCCAGCAATCCCATTATTGGTTATATACCCAAAAGATTATAAATCATTTTACTATAAAGACACATGCACACATATGTTTATTGCAGCACTGTTCACAGTAGCAAAGACTTGGAACCAACCCAATTGCTCATCAATGATGGACTGGATAAAGAAAATGTGGTACATATACACCATGGAATACTATGCAGCCATAAAAAAGATGAGTTCATTTCCTTTGCGGGGTCATGGATGAAGCTGGAAACAATCATTCTCATCAAACTAACACAGGAACAGAAAATCAAGCACCGCATGTTCTCACTCATAAGTGGGAGTTGTACAATGAGAACACATGGACACAGGGAGGGGAAAATCACACTGAGGACTGTCGGGGGATGCGGGGAGGAATAGCATTAGTAGAAATACCTAATGTAGATGACGGGTTGATGCATGCAGCAAACTACCATGGCACGTGTATACCTATGTAACAAACCTGCAGATTCTGCATGTGCATCCCAGAACTTAAAGTATAATAAAAAAATAGTGTTTGGAAATTAATTCCAATCAGAGGCCATTAAAGATTTGCATAAGATCCCTCACCTAAAATGTACAAATCATATTTTAATCTATTTGTTATTTTCAACTGGAGATTTGTTCTGGAAGCATAATAAATGAGTGCACTGATTGATATTTTATTTATTCTGCCCCAGCATGTATTACTTATATGCTTTTTTGTCTAAAAATCACTTTGTAGAAATCAAAGGCTGTGATGCATTTAGGGATTTCATATACATTTTGGTAGTGGATGACACCAGAGAGTATGAGGAAGATCTAGAGTGCCAGAGGAATGAAAGTATTGATATTATGTTCAGGCAAAAGTGAGAAAGACTGAGACATTAAGGAAATAAGAGCATTCATGTCTGAAATTTTTGAAGAGGCAGGGAAGGTTGGATGAGGCTGAATAGAATAAAAAGGTTATTATAATAATTTTCATTTTTTAACAGAAACTAAGAGTCTGGGATATTTTAGAACAAGAAGAAAAAGTTTGTTTAGAAAAAAAGGAATTAGAGAAAACAAAGATATATTAGGAAAATATGGAAAAGCCCTACACATAAAGATAGACAACAGTATCTATGACAGTTTTAAGATTTGATCAGAAATTTTGTGGGTAGTTTTACTAACTCTATATATGTGAAGATTGCCAAGAATTTCATCTGTGCCTTTGGAAGCAATACTCTAATTATTTTGGGCCTGCGAACATTAATAAATATGTAGGATTCTAATGAAAATGCAACCAAAAGTACAGTAATGCTAGTGGAATATTTTATTGGTGAAATGCAAATATTTAACTTCTTAAGTTATAAGCAACCAAGAATCATATAACTACCTTGCTGGATAGCTTGCATTTACCCCTCTAAATTCACCCTCCTCATTTATCCACCTTGTTTTCTCCTATACAAAGCCTACCTGTATGGACTATATCTGTGGAATCCCTTGCCCTCTAGCTTAAAATGGGCTTTCATCAATGGGAATCTCCAGTATAAGATTTGAAGGAGGAAGAAGACTTAAATCACAGTATTTATTTTCCTCAGCTTCTAACCTGCAGTCCCTTTGTTGGAAAACTAAGGCTGTAAAGAAAGGCACTATTGCTAATAAGGCTTTGGTTTGGATGTCCCTGATAACTAATGATGTTGAACCACCTTTTCATGTGCTTATTCACCATTTGTATATCTTTAAAGAAACGTCTGTTCAGGGTCCTGGCCATTTTAATAAAATTGAGTTCTTAAAAACAATTACTGAGATATTCTAGATACAAGTCTCCATCAAATTTGCAAGTAATGTTATACGCTGCATAATAATGGTTTGGTCAACAACAAATAACATATATAATTGTTATCTCACAAGATTATAATGGAGCAAAAAAAATTTCCTATTGCCTAGTGACATTGAAGCCATCATAACATTGTAGCACAACACATTACTCAAATATTTGTGGTGATGATGGTGTAAACAATCCTATTGTGCTGCCAGTTTTATGAAAGTGTAGTACATACGGTTACATTAAATATGCAATACTTGATCATGCTTCAAAAAATCTGTGTTACTGGTTTATGTATTTACTATACTATAGTTATCACTAATTTAGAGTGTACTCTTTCTACTCGTAAAAAAGTTAACTATAAAAACTTTAGGCAGTTCATTCAGGAAGTATTCCAGAAGAAGGCATTCTTATCATAGCAGAGGGCAGTTCAATACTGTTATTGCCTTAGAAGCCCTTCCAGTGGAATCAGATGTAGAGGTGGAAGACAATAATATTGATAATCCTGACCCTATGTAGGCCTAGGCTATTGTGGGCTTGTGTCTTAGTTTTTTAAAAAAAGTTTAAAAAGTAAGAAAAAATACAAATAGAAAAAAGCTTCTAAAATAAATATATAAAGAAATAAAATATTTTTGTACAGCTGTACAATATGTGTTCTAAGTGTTATTACAAAAGAGACAGAGTTAAAAAAGAACATTTATAAAGTAAAAAAAGTTATAGTAAGTTAAAGTTAAAATTATTGAAGAAAGAAAATATTGATATATAAATTTAGTGTAACCTAAGTATACAGTGTTCAGCAAGTCTACATTAGTGTACAGTAATGTCCAAGATCTTCACATTCACTTACCAGAAACACATTGACTTGCCAAAGCAACTTACAGTCCTGCGACCTCCATTCATAGCATGTGCCTTACAGGTGCACTATTTTTTATCATTTATGCCATATTTTTAATATACCTTTTCTATGATTAGATATGTTAGATACACACATACTAATCATTTTGTTACAATTTTCTACAGTGTTCAGTACAGTAACATGCTATATAGGTTTGTAGTATAAGAGCAATAGGCTATACTAAATAGCCTAAGTGTTCAGTAGACTATACTATCTAGGTTTGTGTAAGTATACTCTATGAACTTTGTGCAACAATGAAATCAATTAACACATTTTTTTCAGAACAAACTCCAATTGTTAAGTGATGCAAGACTGTATTTTCTCCCATTCTGTGGGTTGTATTTTCACTTTCTTGATAGTGTAACGGTGAAATGGGAGGAATTTTCCCTTATTCCCGTCACAGGGCATGTGATGGGGGTGTGGCTCACTTATGTGGTGCCCTGCTGCTCCAGCCCCTAGGAGGAGCATGCAGATGGGCAGGTTGTTGGGCTCCCACCCCACGGCAGTGTCTAAGGTTGAGTGTTTACAGCTCCCAAAGCCCCAATAGGCATGTGTTATAGTGTGCTCTTTCAGCTTAGCCATCTGCAGGTGGCTTACGTTAATCAGCTCAAGTAGATCCATTTGCCTTATCACAAAGTTAGAGGGCTTTCTGTATCCAGGGGTTCTTGCCTTAGTGTACTGGAAAAATTGGATCACATGTGGGCTTGGAGAATGAGTATAAAGCTTTGTTGAATGGTGTAAGTAGCTCTCAGCAGATGGACTGGAAGCCAGAAGGGGCACGGAGTGGGAAGGTGGTCTTCCCCGGGGTTGGGCTGCTAAGTGGCTGGGCTCTCCTCCCAGTGCCCTCAGCGGAATTCCCCTTGGCATCCACGTTGTTCTGCCATTGATGGCCTGCCGGCATCTGTTGGTGTGTTCTGCTGGTGTGTTCCTCTCCACGTCCAGCTGCTGGTGTGTGTGTGTCCGCTTAAGGTCTCTGGCTTATATGGGCACAGGATGGGGGGTGTGGTGAGCCCAAAGGCAACTTTTTGTTTGTGAAAACAGAAAAGCTGGTCCTCACTTAGGACCGTGGGCACAGGCCTGAGGGTGGAGCCTTTGTCAGGGACCTCACCCTTCTCTACCCAGCATTTCCCTGCCCCCATCCTGTATCAGTAGTATCCTAGTGCCCTTTAAAACAAAGTAAGTATTAATTTTCATGAAGTCCAATTTATTTCTCTTTTGTTACTTGTGCTATTGGTGTCTTATCGAAGAATCCATTGCCATATCCAAGGTCACAAAGATTTACCCTAAATTTTCTTCTAAGAGTTTTATAATTTTAGTTCTTAGATTTTGGTCTTTGATTTATTTTGAGTTAATGTTGCGTATCATGTGAGGTAAGGGTCCAGTTTAAATGTTTTTCATGTGTCTATTATTTTTTTTTATTTTTAGATACATTATATTTTTACATATTTATAACATGCACGTGAAATTTTGTCATACACATGGAATGTGTAATGTTCAAATTAGAGGATTTAAGGTATCCATCACCGAAATATTTACCATTTATCTATATAGAGTACATTTCAAGTCCTGTCTTCTAGCTATTTTATAAGTACAATATATTGTTGCTACCTGTAGTCAACTTACTCTTCCGTCAAAGATTAGAACTTATTCCTTCCATTTAGCTGTATGTTTGTACATATTGACTAGCCTCTTTTCAACACTCGCACTTATATATTCTGCCCATCACAGGTATCTACCATTCTACATTCTAAGTCAATGAGAACAATTCTTCTTAGCTCTCACATAGGTGTGAGAACATGCAATATTTGTCTTTCAGTGCCTGGCTTATTTCACTTAACATTATGACCTGCAGTTTCATCCATGTTGCTAAAATCACGTGATCTAATTATTCTTTATAATCAAATGGTATTCTACTGTGTATGTATACCGCATTTTCTTCATCCATTCATTTGCTAATTAACACTTAGTTTTATCCCATATCTTTGCTATTGTCAATAGTGTTACAATAAACATAAGAGTTAATGTATCCCTTTCATATCTTCATTTCTTTTCTTTTGGATAATTGCCTAGTAGTGGAATTGCTGGATTGATGGGTAGTTCTATATTTAGCTTTTTGATAAATCTCTGTACTGTTTTCCACAGTGGCTGTACTAATTTACATTTCCACCAACAGTGTATAAGAGTTCCCTCTTATTCACATCCTTAACAAAATCTGTTGTTCCTTGCATTTGTAGTAATAGACATTCTGATTGGGGGAACATGTTATCTAATTGTGGTTTTGATTTGCATTTCCCTGATGATTAGTAATATGGAGCCATTTTTCATATACCTGCTGTCCATATGTATGTTATCTTTTAGTAATTTATCATTCTGTCATTGTTCTTGCTTCCTGTTTCTGAAGATATCATTTCAGCCAAAAGTTACAGATTGAGCTCTGTCTGATATTTTCTGAGCAGGAATATGTCCTTTTAGTACCTCAAGAATATGTCATAGCTCTTCAAAGCCTTCCATGAGACAACTCCTTCTTCAGGTATTTCTTTTACTTTGTTGGCCAGTTTCTTGTTTACCTGAGCTGATACCATAGCCTCATGCGTCAGTGATAAAAAATAATTGCCACCAATTATCTTGAATGAAAGCTCTGGATATAGGGTGTTTCCCACGAGTGAGGACTGAATTAAATCAAATAACAACACCATGTGAATATAATTCTTCTAGAGAGCTTCAAGACAGGTCATATAGTGAGAAATGCTTTGGATATGGCTTTTTGGGGAGTCTCAAACCCAGTGTTTCCCTTCCAGTGACTGAAAGGCTACCGTTTCTCATAGCTACTTGGTTGTGGGGCTGCTGCTTTTCAAAGCTTAAAGAAACCTGAGAAAAGGATAGTAGTAGATCAGTTTAAAATGTTATGGCCAGCCCTGCTCTTCTTACTGAGATTTAGCAGTTTTCCTTGAATTAGTAATTCTCCAAGTATAGCAAGGTTTTGGTTAATTACCGAAGCTCTGAAAAAGTTGGTTTGTTGTTGTTGTTGTTGTTGTTGTTGTTGTTGTTTTTGCTAGTGCTTTTATTGATTTGTTGGAGTGGTTGATTTATGAAGCTCCTCACTCATCCAACCTGAAAGTCCCATTTTGGAAAGCTGTAGATTTTAAGGTAAATCAGATGAAAACATTACGAAGTAATTTCCCTTTTAAATGTGGTGAACAATTAAATAAAGAAGTCTCTAAAATGTGAAATATCTGCTTAATCAAGAGACAACTCATGTAAATAGTGTAACTCATGTAATCAAGAGACAACTCATGTAATCAAGAGACAACTCATGTAAATAGTGTAACAGCTTATAATTTCACTAATTTCTTTTTATTTTAATTAATTTTTAAATTAACTTATCTATTTTAAATTTTGTTATTGACAAGGTCTCACTTTGTCACCCAGGCTGGGGTACAGAGGGCAATCATGGCTTACTGTAGCCTTGAACTCCTGGACTTAAGCAGTCTTCCCAACTCGGCTTCCCAAAGCCCTGAAATTACAGGCACAAGCCACCATTCCTGGCTTAGCAATTTATTTACTAATTATTCTATTTGTTCTTTAATCAATTGTAGTAGTTTATATTTTCTAGAATAGTTGTCATTTAATATGTCTTATCAATTTTATTGGTATAAAGTTATTAATATAATTTAGTTATGATTTGAAATAATCTTGAGTGTACTTATGCTCTTTTTTATTGTACTATTATTTGCTTATATGTTCTCCCATTTATTTTTTCTTAATTAGTGTTTTTACCTTTTGGTGTTGATGTTCATTTACATTGGGTTTCTTTTTTTCTCATTTGCTTCTTCATTTAATATTATTTTTAAAATTTTATCTTTATATTTTGCATTTCACCTTAAAATGCATTCTATTCATTCTTTTTGTTGAGTAAACAGTATATTTTCTTTTAAACTTCCTCTTTTCTAATTCATTTAAACCCAATATGTTCTTCTAATTAATGTGTTTATTATCTCCAAAATGTTTTTCTATATAGTGTTCTCTTCAATATCAGTGGTTTATAAGAAGAAGTCAAAAGAAATACAACTCATGTTCTTTTTATCCAAGGAGCTTCCAAGGAAATGTTGTAACCATGGCAATGAGAAGCATTCATAGGATTCAGCAGAAAATATTGTTTATTTCTCCAAAGCCCACTCAAGCATCTTCTGTATAAATGTATTTTCCCATGATTTTTCTCACAATATTTTGGAAAATAATTCTGGTTATTAGGTTCTAAAATATTTACAGTTCAATAAATAACAAGTCCTTCTCCACATTGTCATTTTTTAAAAATTAGATATCATGGATACATAAGGGTTTTTGCAAGAAAAGTATGGCACTACAAAACGAAGTTACTAAGGAGAGTTCGGTAAGGGCACTACTTAAAAAGGATGGACAAGATGAGGAAAATTGTCAAGGGATAGCAACCCACAGGTCTAGCAACAGTTGTTATAACCACTCCTAGATGTAACCAAGCAAGGAGAATGAGTAATAACTAGATCTATGTAACATGTAGCTAAGGAGAAATCTTCCCAACAGAAACTATTACTTTTGCTAGAGGAACAAAACCTTGCCAAACCTTGACTGAAAGAATCTAGGGGAATTAATGCCCTGACCAAGAGGGTATATGCATTTTTGCCCTCTGATCTCCTTAATGTGATACAAATTGTATAATGCCAACCCAAACCCAGATGTCAATATGGATTATCATTCTAGTCATAGAGGTCAGCCAGTACTACTTTAAAAGTTTTAACTTCCTTTATTGCCCAGCTTAAGCCTTTCCAAAAGGGACAAATAGGAAAAATAATAAAAAAGTAAAATACATCCCAATCAAATCTAAAACCCAACAGGAAAAACTATTTTTCATTAAGAAATCATAGTTACATACATTTATGGAATACAATATGATATTCTGATATATGCATACAATGTAGTATAATTAAATCAAGCTCATTAACATATCCATCACTACGCTTATATATTTTTTATGTGATTGTACTAGTCCGTTCTCACACTGCTATATGAAATACCCAAGACTGGGTAATTTATAAAGGAAAGGAAGTTTAATAAACTCACAGTTCCACATGGCTAGTGAGGTCTTCCAATCATGGCAGAAGACAAAGGAGGAGCAAAGGCACGTCTTACATGGTGGCAGGCAAGAGAGTGTGTGCAGGGGAACTGCCCTTTATAAAACCATCAGATCTTATGAGACTTATTAACTATCACGAGAACAGCATGGAAAAACCCGACCCCATGATTCAATTACCTCCTACCAGGTCCCTCTTATGACACATGGGGATTATGGGAATTACAATTCAAGAAGAGATTTGGCTGGGGACACAGCCAAACTGTATCAGTGATATATTCAATACATCTCAAACTTTTTCCCCCTATTGATATGAAACTTTGTCCATTTTAACAATTTTCCATTCTCCTACCTAAAACATTTTATCAACAACTCCCCATTCCTTCCATTACAATACCCCAGCATCTGGTATTGTTCTACTCTCTTCCTGTATGAGTTCAACTTTATTAGATGTCACATATAAGTGAGATAATGCAAAATTTGTTATTTTGTGCCTGGCTTATTTCATTTAGCATGATGTTTTCTAGATTCATCTATCTTGTTACAATTGACAGAATTTTCCCCTTTTATATGACTGAAAAAATATTCCATTGTGTAGATATATCACATTTTCTTTTCCCATTCATCTGTTGATGGATGTGTAGGTTGTTTTCCTATCTTGGCTATTGTAAATAGTGCTGCGTGGGAGTGAATATATCTCTTCAACATTTTGATTTTGATTTCTTTAAATATATACCCAGCAGTGGCTTTTCTGAATCATATGGAAGTTATGTTTTTAATTTTTTGAGAAAACTCCATACTTTTTCCATAATGGCTTCACTAATTTACATTCCAACTAACAGTGTGCAAGGGTGGCCTTTTATCTTTTGGGTAATAGCCATTCCTACTGTTGAGAGGTAATATGTCATTAAGGTTTGGGTTTGCATTTCCCTGATGATTAGTGATGTTGACCATTTTTTTCATATACCTGTTGGCAATGTGTATATCTTATTTTGAGAAATGTCTACTTAGGCCTTTTGTGGACTTATTAACAGGGTTATATGTTTTCTTGCTCAGCAGTTTAAGTTTCTTACATATTTTGAATATTAACCCCTTATTAGATGTATGGTTTGCAAATATTTTCTCCCATTCTGTAGCTTTTCTCTTCACGCCATGGATTTTTCTTTTTGCTAAAGAAGCTTTTTAGTTTGATGCAATGTGTTTTGTCTGTTTTTTTCTTTTATTATCCATGCATTTGAGTTTATATCCAGAAAATCATTGTTCAGACAAAAATCATGTATCCCAAAGATTTTGCCAAGTTTGCTGCTAGTAGTTTCATAGATTTGGGTGTACATTTAAGGCTTTATTTTATTTTTAGTAGATTTTCGTATATGGTGAAAGATAGGAGTCTTATGTTATTCTTCTGTTTGTGGATATACAATTTTCCTAGTAGCATTTATTGAAGAGAATGGTACTTTCACCATCGTGTATTCTTGGCACCTTCATGAAAAGTCAATTGACTGTAAATGTGTAAAATTATTTATTGGTTCTCTATTTTATGTTACTGATTTCTATGTTTTCATGCCAGTACCATGCTGTTTTGGTTCCTGTAGCTTTGTAGTATATTTTGAAATTAGGTTGCATAATTTCTCCAGCTTTGTTTTTCTTTGCTCAAAATTGCTTTGACTAAGTCATTTGTTGTTCTAAACAAATTTCAGTATTTTTTTATTTCTGTGAAAAATGCCATTGGTATTTTGATGGGGATTGTATTGAATCACCAACAATATGAATTTTTCAAATTCATGAATGCATGCTATATTTTCATTTGTTTATGTCGTCAATCTATTTCAACAATGTTTTATAGTTTTTGGTGTAAAAATTTTTTACCTCCCAGGTTAAATTTATTCCAAGTAATCTTTTGTAGTTATCGTAAATGAGATTGTTTTCTTGATTTTTTTTTGAGTTAGTTCAGTGTTAGTATATGGAAATGCTACTAAAATTTATTGTTGGTTTTGTAACTTGCAACAAAGTCAAATGAACTTTAATGAAGTCATTTATTACTTTTAACAGTTTTTTGGTGATGTCATTAGGGTTTACTGTATACATGACCATGTCATCTGTAAATTGAGACAAAATGACTGCTTGTTTTCCAATGTGGATGCCCTTTTTTAAAATATTTCTCTTGCCTAATTTCTATGGCTAGGATTTCCAATACTATTTTAAATAGAAGTAGTAAAAGTGAACATCTATGTTTAATTCATACCTTAGAGAAAAATCTTTAAATTTTTATTCAGTTTGATGTTAGCTATGGGTTTGTTATATGTGTTCTTTATTGTGTTAACACACTTTCTTTTGATGTTTATTTTGTTGACAGGTTTATCATGAAGGGGAGATAAATTTTATCAAATGCTCCTTTTGCTTATGGAAATGATCATATTGTCTTTGTCCTTCATTCTGATAATGTGGTGTATCACATTTATTGATTTCCACATATTGAACTATCATTGCATCCCTGAAATTAATTCCACTTAATTATAGTAAATGATTGTTTTAAACTGTTATTGAATGTGATTTGCTAGTTTTTTGTTGAAAATTTTTGCACCTATGTTAATCAGACATATTGACCCATAGTTTTCATTTTTTAGTTATGTTCTTCTCTGGTTTTAACATCAGAGTAATGTAAGCATCATAGAATAGATTTGGAAAGATTTTGTCATCTTGGAGTTTTTGTAATAGTTTGAGAAGAATTGGTATTATTTCTTTAACTGTTTGGTAGAATTCAGCAGTGAACGTATCAGGTCCTGGTCTTTTATTTGATGGAAGGTGCTTCATTACTGGCCCAATCACCTTACTTAATGTTAATCAGTATTAGTTCAGATTTTTAATTTATTTATAATTAAACTATGGTAGGTTTTATACATCCAAAAATTTATCCATTTCTTTTGGGTTATATAGTCTGTTGGCTTATAATTATTTATAATAGTGTCTATAATCCTTTGTGTGTCTATTGTGTCATTTGTAATGTCTACCTTTTATCTCTGATTTTGTTTATTTAAACCTTGTCTCTCTCTTATTTAGTTTAGTTAATGGTTTGTCAATTTTATCTTTCCAAAAGAAAAAAAAAACCCTCTTTGTTTTGTTGAGCCTTTGTAGTGGCTTTTGTCTCTATTTCATTTATTTTTTATTTGATCCTTATCATTTAATTTTCTTTAATTTTCTGTTTAGTTTATTCTTGTTTGCTGAATTGCAATGCTATGTTGTATATATGAGATCATCTTTTTTCATGGAGTTGTTTGTTGCTGTAAAGCTCCCTCTAAAATCTACCTTTCCTATATCTCATAGGTTTTGGTATGTTGTATTATCATTTTCATTTGTTTCAAGAAATTTTAAATTTTTCTTTTAATTTTTATATTGTCTCATTTGTCATTCAGGTTCAGGTTGCTTAATTTTTACGTATTTGTAAAATTTCCAAAATTGCCTGTGTTATTAGTTTCTAGCTTTATACCATTGTGGTCTGATAATCTCAGTCTTCTTAAATTTGTTAAGACTTGTTTTGTGATCAAATATGCAGTCTATCCTAGGGAATGTTCTATGTGCAGTTGATACAAATGTGTTGTCAGATGGTGTGTTCAGTAAGTGTCTGTTAGGTCTATTTGTCCTAGGGTGAAGTTTAAATTCAATGTTTCTTTGTTAATTTTTCTGTCTGAATTATCTGTCAGTTGCTCAAAGTGAGGTATCAAAGTCTCCTACTATTATTGTATTGCAGTCTATGTCTTTCTATAGAACTTTTGATATTTCCTTTATATATTTAGAGTTAATGTTGTGTGTGTATATGTTTACAATTGTTATATCTTCTTGCTGAAATGGCTCATTTATTATTATGTAATGACATTTTTATTAATTTTTAAAGTTTTTGACTTAAAGTCTATTTTATCTTATATAAGTACAGCTACTCCTGCTCTCTTTTTGATTTCCACTTTCATGGGAAGTTTCTTTCCATCCC
The DNA here is from genome assembly GCF_000001405.40 of Homo sapiens. NCBI lineage: Eukaryota > Metazoa > Chordata > Mammalia > Primates > Hominidae > Homo > Homo sapiens. Next base: position 82,408,501 of record NC_000023.11, read on the forward strand.
ATCACTTTCAGTCTATGTGTGTCATTAGAGGTGAAGTGAAACAGCATAAAGTTGTTTTTTTTTTTCCATTCAGCCACTCTGTATTTTAATTGGTGAATTTAATCCACTTACCTACAAGGTAATTACTGATAGGTAAAGACTTGCTACTGCCATTCTAACTGTTTTCCAGTTGTTTTATAGATTCCTTCTTTGTTTCTTTATTTCTTGGTTACTTTCTTTCTTTTTCTCTTTCTCTCTCTTTCTTTCTGTCTTCTTCCTTATTGTCTTCCTTTGTGGTTACATAACTTTCTATAGTAGTTCATTTTGCTTGCTAGCATTTTTTCATTTTTAATGTATCTGTTAAAGGTTTTTGCTTTGTGGTTACCATGAGGCTTATAAAAACATCTTAAAGTTATAACGAAGTGTAAGTTGATAAAAACTTAACTTTGATCACCAAAACAGCTCTACACTTTAATCCCATACTTCCTCAAACATTTTTAATTTTTGTTATCACAATGTATAACTTTTTATAATTTATATCTGTTAACAGATTATTATGGTTATTATTTTACTAGTTTTGACTTTTAATATTTACACTGAAAATATGATTAATTTACATACCATTATTACAGTATTAGCATATTCTGAATTTGAATGTGTACTTACTTTTATAAGTTAGTATTATACTTTCGGATGTTTTTGTATTACTTACTATCATCATTTCCTTTCAGCTTAAATAACTCCCTTTAGCATGTTTTTCATGATACGTATGGTGGTAGTGAACTTTCAGCTTTTGCTTGTCTGGGAAAGTTTTTTATCTCCATTTCTGAAGGACAACTTTGCTGGGTACAGTAATCATGATTGGTAGTTTTCTTTTTCTTTCTTTTTCTATTCAGTTGTTTGAATATATCACTCTACTATTTCCTAGCCTGTAAGGTTTCTGCTGAGAAGTCAGCTGTTAGGTATATTGGGACTTCCTTATATATGATTTGTTTCTTTCCTCTTGATGCTTTCAAAATTCTCTCTTTGTTTTTGATTGTTGAGAGTTCAATTATGTCTTTGGGTTGTATTATGTGTATTGAATCTTATTGGTGACCTTTGACTTTCCTGTACCTGGATATTTATATCTTTCTCCACATTTGGAAAGTTTTCTGCTATTATTTCTTTAAATAAGCTTTTTACCTCTTTCTCTTACTCTACTTCTTCTTAGACACCAATGACTCATATACTTGCTCTTTTGATATAGTTCTATAAAACTCATTAGCTTTTTTCATACATTCTTATTATTTAAAAAATTTCTCCTCTGATGGTCAAATTTAAAATAATCTATCTTCCTTTGAGTTTTTGTACTTTTTAATTTAATTGATCATTTCTGCTGTTGCTACTTTTCATTGCATATTTTATGAATTGTATTTTAAAATAATTTTAATATTTCTCACACATTTCTGATTTTTTTTATTTTATTGAACTTAACTAAGCTTTTTAAAGACAGGTGTTTTGAATTCTTTATCAGACAATTTATGCATCTTCATTTCTTTGGAATTAGTCACTGACACCTTATTTTGTCTGCTTGGTGGCGTCATATTCTTCCAGTTGTTCTTGATTCTTGTGGTCATGAATCAATGTCTGCACATTGAAGAGGTAGGTACTATTTCACTCTTTGTAGTCAGGCTTTTTTGGGGGAATGCCCTTCAACTGTAAGCTTGTACAAATATTTTGGACAGCACTTCTGGTGTAATCTCTAAGCCCATGGTAACTTCAGCTGTCTCAGGGCTAAGGTTGCTCTAAGCTCAGGACCCATGTGGTCAGTGAATCTCATGCTATAATTGCTGTTGGCTAGTTTCTCTGGTGTGGCATCTTTGTTGGCCAGAATGCATAGTAGCCACCATGATCTGTGTACTGGTAAATGTGAACTCTATCCCTATTCTTTGTTTCTAACTGACTCTAGGTGGTCTAGCTTTCATGGTACTCTCACTGTTCCCTGCAGGAAAAGATAGGAATGAACATCCTGCTTGAGGTTCCAGAATGGTTAGCAAGTTGCATATCTGCTTTCAATTCACTTTGTTTTTAAACTATATGAACCATGTGTAGAGAGGAATTCTCTGTGTGTTTCTCTGTGCCAACATGAAGAAGAAACAGCATGGTCAAATAGAACAGTTTTTCTTAAAGTTTCATCACAGCTTTTCTCAGTTCTATAGTCCATGTGGAAAGTTTTAGCATCTCTTCTGAGTTCTGGGATATTTTAGATAATATTCTTGCCTGTGTATAGATACTTGTTAGATTTCTATGGGACACTTGAAGCTAGGGGTCTCCTATTTCACCATTTTATTGATGTAACTCCTCACAAATATTAAATCTTAAGGCTACAGAACAATATTCCTCCAGTCAAAGTTTCATCCTCTGGAAACACAGGCGGAGAGGTTTGGTTCCTAAGGCTCCAGGGAGATTCACCTCCATGGCTTTACTGGGCACAGCTCATGCTGCAGCTTCTATACATTAGAGTATCATGCTTGTTGTCCTTCCAAGCTAGAGTCACATGCCTATGGCTCTACCAGTTTTGTTCCATGGGGTTGGCCCCATGCTCCACTAGGCATCACCCTACTCTGGATGCTCTGCAGTTGCCCTTTTCCCACAGCTCCACTAAGCATTGTCCTAGTTGGGGTTCTCTGTGGTGAATCTGCCCAGATGCTCTGCTAGGCATTGCCCAAGTTTGCAATCTCTACAGTGACTTCACATGTGTGACATTTCTCTGCCTGGTTTTCAAAGCTCTCTGCGGCATCTCTTAAAATCTACATAGAGGTAGCCATATACTAACAAGTCCTGAAATTGGTATACCCACCGAGATAGTACTGCTTAGGCACTATAATTGTATACTGCCTGTGCCTCCCAGACAGGTGTCCCAAGCCACGTCTGTGCCCACTGGAGCAACAGCTCAGGTAGCCAAAGAGCACTGCACTGGAATGCAGGAAGCAGAGACTTGTAATTGTTTTGTTTTCAGGCCCCTGGATTTCTCAACCTGTGATTGGCAGGGCAGCCCCCAATGATCTCTGAAATGCTTTCAGGGCCATTGTTTCATTATTTTGGTGGCTAGAACTTTGCTTCTGGCAATTTATACTAGTCTTCTTATTTAATGCAAATGATCACTTGTACATACCCTTGATGTTCTCTCCTGAACATCTTCTGTTTTTTTTTTATTTTTTTATTTTTTATTCCCTTTACAATATGTCCAGTCTGAGAATTATGCAAATCTTTAAGTTCTGCTTCCCTTTTGATTAAAAATCCCATTTCTAATTTGCTACTCTCCTTCTGCATTTTACTGTAAGCAGAACAGATAAATTATTTGCCACATATTGTCTTAGAGTTTCATCCATAACTAAGACAACAATCCCCATTTTAATGTCCTGTAACCACAGCATGCCATGTAAAATCCATACTGGCACTGTCTACCTCTTTAATAGTATCTCTTAATATATATACCCTCAACACTTTACCTAGATATTTCTTTCATCAAATATTTTATTTCAATTCTCAGAAGTTCTACTTCCCATAAAGCACTAGGACACAAATAATTCAGTTAAGTTCTTTGTCACTGTATAAAAAAGATCACCTTTCCTCAAGTTTTTAATAGCATGTTTTACATTTCTGCTGAGGCCTCATCAGAACAGAATTTGCCATTCACATTCCTACCAACATTTTGTTCACAACCGCCTAGATAATTTCTAAGAAAATTGAAACTTTCTCTTCAGTGCTTCTCCTCTGAGCTCTCATGAACATCACCCTTAAGACTATTTTTATGGCCATATGCCTCAAAATTCTTCCAGCTTCTACTCATTACTCAGTTCCAAAGTCACTTCCACATTTACAGGTATTTGTTATAGCAACACCTCATTTCTTGATACCAATTTCTGTAAAGCTAATTTGGGCTGTATAACAAAATACCTTAGACTGTGTGATTTATAAACAGTAGAAATTTATTGCTCACATTTCTGGAGGCTGAAAATTTAAGATCAAATCACCAGCAGACTTGGTCTGATGAGGGTCTGTTCCTCATAGATGGTGCCTTCTGACGGGATAGTCAGACGAATGAACAAAAAAGGAATATTTTCCCAGCCTCTTTTTTTTTTTCATTTTATTTTTTTATTTTTTTTTATTTTTTATTTTTTTACTTTTCTTTTTTTTTTATTATACTTTAAGTTTTAGGGTACATGTGCACATTGTGCAGGTTAGTTACATATGTATACATGTGCCATGCTGGTGCGCTGCACCCACTAACTCGTCATCTAGCATTAGGTATCCCAGCCTCTTTTAAAAAGGCTCTGATCCTGTTTGTGAGGACTCTACCCTTATGTCCTAATCACATTTCAAAAGCCCTATCTCCTAATATCATCACCTTGTGGATTAAGTTTTACGATAATAGTTTTGGGGATACAGCAACATTTATACTGCTGCACATGCATTTGGTTATAATGAATTCAAATTCCAACTATTATTCCCTAACTTCCATGGATGATGTTAGTCAATTCTTTTGCTCTCTGATTTCTCATGCATGAGTCATACACCCGTTGAATGTGCCCTTTAAGTTCCAGAAGACTGACAATGAGCTCTCTAAGCTGTCCTCTTGAAATCCTTTTCACTGGTCTTGTGGTAAGAAAAAAATAGCTCCTTTAACCCTTTTCCATAGGCAGTGATGCACCTCATTACTTCTAATTTCTGTCTTTCTCAATGTTCCACTTTAAATTACTTTTACACTTAAGAGTTGGCTATCAATGAAGGGTTGAAAATCCAATTTCTGACCACCTTTTTTGTAAGTTGAGCTTAGCTCACTGAGCTACTTGCTTGAAAATTTAGGTAGGTTTTCTGTCACTTATTGCCTTAGAGCCTCATCCATAACTAAAACAGCAATGCCCACTTTAATGTCCCTAAGCGCAGGCTGTCATGTAAGATACATACTGGCACTGTGTACATTTTTAACCTTATCTCTTAACATACTCTCACTGCTACATTTTTTTTACATCCACAATTATCTAAGGCCATTTTTGGACATGCTGTGTTCTCTCATGCCTCTGTGAATTTTAATATGCTGTTTTCTCTGCTTAGATTATTAGTTTCCTCTTCTCCTCCCTTAGCTCATCCTTCCCACGACTCCTAAAACTATTTGATCATATCTATTTTTTTTTCTTCAAGTCTCCTTTCAGATATTAATTTTCATAGTATACCTTTTTTACAACACCCGGAATGACTTAATCATTTGGGAACTATGCTTTCACAATAATCTTTTTTACTTTATTTGGTTCTTAATAATTTGATTTGCAATTATTGGTTTACTTATGGGATCTACCTCACAATTTTGCAGGTTCCTGAAGGGTAGAAAGAGAGCATTTAATACTGAATTTCTAGAGTGTAACAGAGTTCATAAAATATAGCAAATGCTTACACTACATTACTTCATTAAATGACTGAATAAGCCAGAGTAAATATAAATGTGAGTGTAAATAAATATATGTATAAGGAATATAAGGATTAATAATTCAATATTCTGAACTAGAGTGCTGATGAAAAATAAGGAAAGGCATTCAGCTGTGTGGTCTCGGCAATTCACTTTTGCACTGTCTTTATCTTTCTGAAATAAGCATTTTAAAATACATTACTGGCTTTCAAGTATTTCTTGCTCTGAAAATTTTACTAAAATTTTACAAATTATTTATGTATCATTATTGGGAAATACTTTTTCAAACTAAATCTTACTTAGAATCTTAATGAGAAACATAATATTTAACAGCCATTTGAAAATTTAAGCTTGTAGTTTAAGAGAGAACTTATATTTGGTGATGTAGGCTTGGCATTCAGACAGTTAAATATAGGGAAAATGAAAAGAGCTGTTACAGTTAAATTTGAGTTTTCGAAAAATGGTGAAAAAGTCTCCAGTGCAACCATAACTAATGAGGATTATTTAAATATTTTGTCATTTTATTTTAAAATTCATTTGATTCCACCACAGAAGAAAAAAAATTTTTCCATTTGTCTTGTTTGGTATAAAATTACACATTTATTTAGTATGAGAAATGAATGTAAAGTATATTAGGTTTAAAAAAACCTGACAAATAGTTCTATGCAATAAATAACTAACCTTACCCAAAGAGAAATCTTATATTTTTTTCTTGTTTTCTAGGAGGTGATCTCTAGACTCTCAAAATGTTTTGCCCGGTAGAAGTGTCTTTCTTTGCTTGTGGTCTTTGGCCATCAGGCAGTTTATCAATAGGATTTATAAGGGAGGCTTTGGCCATGCAGTCTCTGTTATGCCTCCAGAAGGGACTGGAAAATAAAGGCCTTAACTTGCCCATTGGGAAGGACTGGAGACTACAGGTCAGCATATATAGACAATATATTACCTAGCCCCAATAAAAACTCTGTATACTGAAATACAGAGTAAGCTTCCTGGATTGGCAATATTCCATGCATATTGTGACACAATTAAGCAAGGCAAGGAGGAATTATCACCATCCATGTTTACATGGGGAGGAGACAATCAGAAGATTTGTGCTTGGGCTCTTCCTGAACTCTCCCGTGTGTCTTTTATTTTGGCTTATTTTAATCTATATCACTTTCTTGTAATAAACTGGGACTATGAATATAGCAACTTTCAGTAAGTTCTATGAGTCCTTGTAGCAAACTATCAAATGCAAGCATAGATTTTAAAACCCTTAAACTTGTAATTGGTGTTAAAAGTGAAAGCAACCTTCTGGGGATTGTTCTCCCCAACTTTGAAATTGGTTAAATTCATTACAACCTCAAACATCACAAAATCTAACAAAATAATTATATATTTTTATTAATTATTCTCATGGATTTCTATAGTTCATTGTTTTCTACTTTGTTGACTCTTTTGCATTTGATTATTTGTCCCGATGCTAAATAATTGTTAATCATTTTCCATAGAGACTGTACAAATATAACTTAGTATTTCTTTTACCATGGATAATACGACTTGTCATTAACAACTTTGGTGTTATAGGAACGTCGAAGAAAGAAATCTTTTAAATAAAAATTTCAAGTTGAGAAACTGGAAGTTTGTGCTAAGGCAAAGAAAATGTTAACTCGTATAGGAACTTTTGGCATGGAAAGAAACAATAGAAGTAGAGAAAAGTTTGCTTCCAATATTCACTTAACATTTATTTAACCATTGAAAGTTTCTGAAATAGACAAAATATGACAGTTTTTAGTATACTTTAGAAATACCTGATGAAGCATAGATTACTTAGAAAAGCTATTATAATAGCCTAGGCAAGAAATAATGTCTTCTTTAATTTAGAAAATGACAAAATATATAGGGGAAAACAAAAATAGGAAATGTTGTGAAATTTGAACTGACAAGGCTTGGATACAGAAGGTGACTAAGGAAAGAGCTGATGAAACTACTTCCTTGTTTTCATCCTGGATGACTACATTTAATATCAACTGCAGTAAGAAGCACCAAAAAAGAACAGATTTTTATTGGGGGCTTAGCAGTATATAATGAGTTCTGTTTTAGGCCTTGAATTTGATGAGTATATTAAAAAATCTATAAGGAGATCTGTAACTCACATTTGACATATTGGGGTTTGAGTTTAAGACAGGGTCATGCTGGTAAGGTAGATGTAACAATCATGCAATTATATATAGAGGATATAACTTAAGAAACATGATTGAAGGAAATTAACTCAGGTAAGAAATATAAAATCAGAAGGACAGTAAAGATAGAATCTTGAGAAGTGTGTAGGTAATGTTTAATCAAGCAGGCATAAGTCCAGACTATCTTAATGAAAATTTAGGCTCCATGACTTAAAAGCGATATATAACGGCAACATTATTTAACTTATCAGCATCTCATGTTTCTTATCAATTAATTGGGATAATAATAGTAGTATTGTCATTGGAAACCTAGTAAGTGTTCCATACATTTTAACTATTATAATCAATCTCACTATTATTTCTATTATCTTTTTTTATTATACTTTAAGTTTTAGGGTACATGTGCACAACGTGCAGGTTTGTTACAAGTGAATTATGAAGGAAGATATGCACAAGAAATATAAAACCAGTTAAAAGATAGTAACAGAAAGTGAAGAAGAGGAGTAGACAACGAATGTAGACCACTTTTTCATGTGGTTTTAAAGTAAAATACAGAGAAAACAGAGGATGTCAGCATGACAGCAGAGTAGAAATTCCTAGACCCCCCTCTTTCACCCACAAAAACTGATGCAGCAGCAATTTTCAGAAAACCTTTCCCTGTATGAAATTTGAAACTAATTCAGACTCCAAGAGAGCACAAAAACAGGCTTACAAAGTGGCTAGGGAGATTTGGGACACCTTCTACCTGGAGACCCTGCACCCAACTCAGCACCATACAATTGACTAGAAACCTTCTACCTCTCAGTTTCCTCCAGGGAAGAGAAGAGCTTGTTTTATCTTCCAGTGCTCCAGTTATTCTAAAGGGGATCCCAAGAGGACTGGCTTTCATCTTACCAGTCTTAAAGTACTGACGTGTGTGGCACAGCCTAGTTTCCTGGGAGAGTAAAAATAAAAAGGCTTGGGATAATAAATGACAACGATCTTCTCCCATGCTTGGCACAGAGCGTGTGAATGAAAAATTCCAGCTCTCAGATTCCATCTAGGGAGATAAAGAGTCGATCCAAGACTCCAGAACTCCAACTACTCTAGGGATGTCCAAAGTACTTGCATATGTTTCACCTCTCTAGCTCTCACCATTCTAGTACTGTCTTGCTGCATGGAGGAGAACAAAGATGGCAGCTTAGGCTGGGAGAACCATAACCCCCTGCTTCATCACAGAGTCAATAGACATCACACATGTTTTCCTGTTTTTTTTTGTGGAGGAAAAGAGTTGGTAGACTCCACATAAGTATCTGGCTGGGCTGATTGGTGGCAGGTCTTTACATTTGAATGAAGTAACTGACCTGAAAAATTCAGTAGAATTCAACAGCAAACTAGATCAAGCAAAATATAGAATCAGTGAACCTGAAAACAGATCGTTCAATATAATTCAATGAAAAAAGGAAAATAATTTTTAAAACTAATTAAAACAAGTGAAGAAAGCTAAAGGGGCTAGCGGGGCACCATCAAGAAAACCAATATATGTGTTATGGTAAATCAAAAAGGAGAATATGGAAAACATCCCAGAAAACTTTTTCAAAGAAATAGTGTCTGAAAATGTCCCAAATTTGGGAAAGAAAATAGATATCCATATTCAAGAATACCAAATGAACCCTTACAGGATGAACCCAAAGAAATCCATAACAAGACACATTATAATGAAAATGTCAAAAGACAAAGACAGAATTTCAAAAGCACCAAGAAAAAAGTGACTCATCACATACAAGGTAGCCTCCATAAGATTATCAGCTGGCCGGGCGCGGTGGCTCACGCCTGTAATCCCAGCACTTTGGGAGGCCGAGGCAGACGGATCACGAGGTCAGGAGATCGAGACCACGGCGAAACCCCGTCTCTACTAAAAATACAAAAAGTTAGCTGGGCGTAGTGGCGGGCGCCTGTAGTCCCAGCTACTCGGGAGGCTGAGGCAGGAGAATGGCGTGAACCCGGGAGGCGGAGCTTGCAGTGAGCCGAGATCGCGCCACTGCACTCCAGCCTGGGTGACAGAGCGAGACTCCGTCTCAAAAAAAAAAAAAAAAAAAGGTTATCAGCTAATTTTTACCATAAATTTTGAATGTCAGAAGGAGTGGGATGATTCATCCAGTGTTGAAGGAAAAATACCTGCTAAACAGGAATGCTGTACCTTGAACAACTCTGCTTCAAAACTAAAGGAGAGATACATTCCCAGAAATGCAGCAGCACAGGGAATTCAACAGCACTAGACCTGACTTACAAGAAAAACTAAAGAGATTTCTTTAAGTATTAATAGAAACAAAAGACATTAAAGAGCAACATGATACCATAAGAAAGTATGAAGCTCATTGATAGATACACACACACACACACACACACATACATACATACAAATGCAGAATATTGTATCTCTGTAATGCTGGTGAGCAAATCAAAATCACTTTTAATTCTGTTATAAAATATAAAAGACAAAAGTATTAAAAACCACTACAATAAATATATGTTAAAAGTTACATATTATAAATGAATGTAAATTGTGACAATAACATAAAATGTGGGAGGTAGAGAAGTTATATTGTGTCATTTTTGTATATGTTAAACAATTTGTTATATTTTATGTAAGCCCCATAGTAACTGCATAACATACTGAAATAAGTTACACACACAAAAATGAAAGGAATCAAAACATATCCATACAAAAAATTTTTAAAGCCCATAAAAAAACAAAAATTCTAACAAAATGACAATAGTAAATCCTTCCCTATTAATAATTGTTTTAAATGTAAATGGACTAAGCTTCCCAGTCAAAAGTTATAGAGTGTCTAAATGGTTTTATATATTTTATTTATAATGGATTTATTATATATATGCACACACAGACACACACATATATGAAGACCAGACTATATGTTTTCTACTAGAAACTCACTTTTAAGGACGTTGAGAAGCTAAAAGTGAAGGACTGGAAAAGGGTATTCCATGAAAATGGTAACCCAAAAGAGAGAATGGGTAGCTATAATTATACCATAAAAAACAGACTGTAACTCAGAAAGTGTTACAAGATATAAAGAGGGTCATTATATAATGATAAATTTGTCAATTCACCAGGAAGATATAACAATTATTAAAAACATTAATATGTGCACCCCAACATCAGACCACTTAAATATATAAAGCAGTAATTCACACTACTGAAAGAAAAAAATAGCCAGCAATACGGTAAGAGTAAAAGATTTCAATACCCATTTCCAATAACAGACAGAATATCCAAACAAGAAATTAATAAAGGAAGCAGAGGATTCAAATAATGGTACAAACCAAATGTACATAACAGACATTTACAGAACATTCCATCCAAGAGCAGTGGAATACATATTCTTCTCAAGTGCACATGGCTTTTTCTTTAGGATAGATCATATGTTAACTAACAAAACAAGTCTTAACATAGTCAACAAGATTAAAATTATACCAAGTATATTTTCTAGACCCAGTGTACTGGAACTAGACAGCCACAGCAGAAAGAAAACTGGGACATTTACAAATATGTGGAAATTAACAAACTCTTTAACTATATTATGTGAAAAAAATAAATTCAGAAGAAAATTAGAAAATATCCTAAGATAAACAAAATGAAAACAAAGCATATCAAAACACACGGGATTAAGAAAAAATATAGTTCTAAGAGGGGAGTTCATAGTGATAAATGTCTACATTTAAAAAGAGGAAACATTTCAAATAAAAACCCTGAATTTATACCTTAAGGAGTTAGAGAAAGCAAAACAAACTAAGCAGAAACTTAGTAGAGAGATGCAATAACAAAGATGGATGCAAACATGAAGAAAACAAAAAAGAAAAAAAGAAACAATCAAAGGCATTGAGTTGTTTTTATTGAAAAGATAAACACAATTGAAAAACTCTTAACTAAGAAAAAGAAGAGAGAAAGCTAAAATGATTAGATCCAGAAATGAATGAAAACACATTACAACTGATGCCATAGAAATAAAAAAAAATAAGGAACTATTATGTAAAATTATTCAACAAAAATCTGGATAACCTATAAGAAATGAATAAATTACTAGAAACATAAAATCTACCAATGGATAATCATGAAGAAATAAAGTGTAACCAATCTATAACCTGTATGGAAATAGAATCAGTAATAGAATCAGAAATAGAATCAAAATTTCCCAACAAAGAAAAGCCTAGGGCTAGATGTCTTCACTAGTGCTTTTTAAGAAACATTTAAAGAAGAATTAATAGCAATCCTTCACTAAATTCTCAAAAAAAATTGAAGAGGAGAAAATATTTTCAAACTCATCATCTTATGGTGCAATATTAATTACTTCCAAACTCTTTTTATGAGGCCAACATTATCCTGATACAAAAGCCAGATACCACAAGGTAAGAAAACTATAGGCCAATATCCCTAATGAATATTGAAGTAAAACTTCGGAGCAAAATGTTAGCAAACTGAATGCAACAGCACATTAAAAGAATCATACGCTATGATCAAGTGTGATTTATCCCTGGCATGCAAGAATGATCCAGCATAAAAAAAGTCAATTAAGATGATAGACCACATTAACAAAATGAAGGATAAAAATCATAATTACCCCAACAAATGTAGTAATATTTACCAAAAGTCAACATCTTTCCTAATAAAAAGTCTCAACAAACTAGAAATAGAAGGCAATTATCTCAACATAATAAAAGCCATATATAATGAACCCACAGCTAACTTTTATCTCAACGGTATAAAACTGAAAGCTTTTCCTCTAGTATCAGAAACAAGACAAGGATGCCCACTGAATTATTTGCCCACTCATTTTTTTTCCTTGCACAATTGATCTGGATAGAACTGACAATACTATGTTGAATAACTTCAAGAGGTCAATTCTGTTCAATAACTAAGTGGAAGTCTAAGCCAGATTGATTAACCAAGAAAAAGCATAAAAATAAAAATAAAAGGAATCCAAATCAGAAAGGAAGAAGTAAAAATTTACCTGTTTGCAGATGAGATGATCTTATATATCAGAAATCCAAATGTCTCCTTAAAAAAGACTGTTACAATTAATACACAATCCAGTAAAGTTGTAGGATACAAAATCAACAGACAAAAAATACTTTTAATTCTCTACCTACCATCAAACTATCTGAAAAGGAAATTAGAAAAACAATCCCATTTACAACAGCACAATAAAGAGTAAAATGCCTAGGGATAATCATAACTAATGGATGAAAAACTTGCATATGATAAACTACAAAACATTGATAGGAGAAATTAAACAAGACACAAACAAATGAGAATATATCCCATATTCATTGGCTGAAAAGCTTAATATGTATTTAAAATGTCTATACTACTGAAAGTGATTTAAAGAGTCAATGCAATTGATATTAAAATCTCAATAGCACTTTTTACAGAAATATAAAAACAATTCTAAGATTCATATGGAAAACAAAAGACTACAAATAGTCAAATCAATCTTGAGAAAGAACAAAGCTGGGAGAATTATACTTCCTGATTCAAAATATATTAACAAGATACAGTGATGAAAACAGTGTTGTACTGGCATAAAGAAAGACATATAGGCCAATGAATTAGAAATAAAGAGCCCAGAAATTAATTCAAGCATATGTGGTCAACCAAGTTTTGTTAAGAATGTCAAGAATACACAGTGGAGGTGTGGGTAGTCTCCTCAGCAATTATATTGGAAAATCTAGATATCCACATACAAAAAAATTAAAACTGGACTTATCTTACACGATACCCAAATAACAACTCAAAATAGAATAAATACTTAAATATAAGACTGTGAAGTGAAAAAAATCCTAGAAGAAATAGTAAAAAATTATGACATTGGTTTGAGGATTTCTTAGATATGATACCAAAAAACATAAGCAACAAAAACAACACACAAGTGGGGCTACATTAAATTTAAAAGCTTCTGCACAAAGATGAGAATAATCAGCAGAGTTAAAAGGCAGTCTACGGTATGGAAAAACATATTTGCAAACCATATATCTGATAAAGGGTTAAAGTCTAAGATATATAAAGAACTCCTACAATTTAGTAGTAAAATAAACCCAATAATATAACTTAAAATGAGCAAAGGATTTGAAAAAAAACATTTCTTTAAAGAAAATATAGAAGTGTTCTCCTGGTATATAGAAAGATATTCATTGTTGCTAATCATCAGAGAAATGCAAATCAAAACCTTGATGAGATATTATCTCACATTAGTCAGAATTGCTGTTATCAAAAAACAAAACATACAAAATGTTGGTCAACCATATTAGAAATGCTCAATACTACTAATTATTAGAGAAATGCAAATCAAAACCACAATGAGATACCATTTCACACCAGTCAGAATGACTTATTACTAAAAAGTCAAGAAATAGCAGATGTTGGTCAGTTTGCAGAGAAAATGAAACACTTATACACTGTTGGGGCAATATAAATTAGTTCAGCCACTATGGAAATTATTAGTTTGGAGATTTCTCAAATATCTTAAAGCATAACTACAATTCGACTCAGCAATCCCGTTACTGGGTTTATACTCAAAGTAATGCAAATTGTTCTATCATAAAGACACATGCATGCATATGTTCATTACAGCACTATTTGCGATGGCAAAGACATGGAATCGACATAGATGCCCATCAGTGGTGGACTGGATAAAGAAAATGTGGCACATATACACCATGGAACACTATGCAGCCATAAAAATACTACATCATGTCCTTTGCAGCAACATGGATGGAGCTGGAGGCCATTATCCTAAGCAGATTAATGCAGGAACAGAAAACCAGATACAACATGTTTTCACTTGTAAGCGTAAGTAAAACATTGAGTACTCACGGACACAAAGTAGGGAGCAGTAGATGCCAGGGCCTACTTGAGAATGGAGAGTGGAAGGGAGGTGAGGATCAAAAAACTACCTATTAAATACTATACTCATGACCTATGTGACAAAATAATTTCCACCAAACTCATACAACGTGTGATTTACCTACGTAACAAACCTGCATATGTACTGTCTTAACTAAAATAAAAGTTGAAAAGGAATGAAATGTTTATGAGAACTGGGGAAATTGCAATCCTTGTATACTGTTGGTGGAAATATAAAATGCAACCACTAAGGAAATCTGTCCAGAGTTTTCTCAAAAAAATTTTAAAAGAACTATCAAGTAGTCAGCAATCTCACTTGGCATCTATCCAAAAGAATTGAAGTCAGGATCTTGAAGTAGTGTTAGTATTCCTGTGTTTATTATAGCACTATTTACAATAGCCAAGGTGTGGAAACAACCTAATTGTCCAACATAGATGGATTTTAAAAATGTGCAAATGTACAATAATATGAGTACTCACACATGTGCACACACATACACAAGGGAATACTATTCAGCCTTAAAAAGAAAGAAGTTCTGCAATATGTGACAACAATGGATGAACATTGAGATCATTATGTTAAATGAAATCATCCAGTCATAGAAAGACAAGCACTATATGATTCCAATTTTATAAGATATCCAAAATAATTAAATTAATAGAATCAAAGAGTCAAATGGTAGTTTCCAGTGGTTGAGGAAAGGAGAAAATGGGAAGTTGTCAATCAATAAGCAAGGGCATACGTTTCAGTCAAGCAAAATGAATAAGCTCTAGCGATCTGCTGTACAACAGTGTACCTAGGGTCAACCATAGTGTTTTGTACATTTAATAGTTTGTTAAGAGTGTTGATCTCATGTTAAGTGTTCTGACCACAATAAAGTAAAATATAAAATAAATAAGGAGAAAGAGCTGTAGCCTGAAGAGAACCCATACTCAGACATTGTTGATTACTTTAGTGTGATTTTCCTGCTTGGTTGTTTTAGACATATTTGACCAGCTTTGTAGGCTAAGAAAATGTGCAAATGGAAAACAAAATGCAGATACCTTTAACACTATGGCACTGATTACTTAAAGGGATGGGAAATGAAAAAGTGTGAGACTGAGCCTGGCACAAGCATTGGACACTTCATATTCTGAGACAGGAAATTTGAAGAGATACAGTGAACACAGAGATATTTTGAGATCTAGGTGAGAGTGGTCACATACTTTTACACAAGAAAAACTTAATTTTACCATTACAGTGAAGGATATCTTTACTGAGAGTGAAGGTATATATGAAGTCGGAAGACTGAAAACTGTGGTCAATTATGGGCTTTTATATTTTAAAATATTGGCATTGGAGCAGCTGTGAGTGTATGGAGTTCAATGATGAGGCTGGATGTACAACGTTATGAAATAAAAAATTGAATGTATGCATATGGAGGTGCTGAGGGATTTTGAAGCAAGAGTGCTATGCATTTATTCTACAAAAGGAAGCAATGAGAGGGAATGAGATAGGGCAAAAATGCTCTGGCTGAGGATATTAAATAAAAACCAATTAGATAAAAGGGTTTCCCTCTTGGTTGAGGGCACCTTGGTGTACATATTAAGAAACTTTAATGTGATGTGAAAGGAAATCAGAATTCACTCCATTTCCTTGGGCAGAGGAGTGACATGATCACAGTAATACAGAGTAGTTGGAGAAAAAAAAGAGGCTAGGCAGGAAGATAAGTTAGGAGGCTGTTTTAGTCATCCTCCTGTGAAACAGAAATAGTAATAGAAATACATAGAAAGAGGCAGTTGGCAGTGACATTGTGAAGGAAAAAAATCAGTCTTTTAAAATTTGCTATATTAAATAACAATTGACAATTGTCACACTATAATTACATTTTAAGTAATTTCATGTAACCATGCATGAAATGAAAGAACATTATAGTGATAAATTGTGCAATCTATTTTCTCAATGTTAATATTTAATAATATGAGATTGACATTTAAATTTATTAGAGGAAATGCTATGGTTTACTTTTTTATTTAACTTGTGAAAAGAAATTGCCACATCACACATAAATACAACTTATATAACTTCATGAATTTAGCCTTATCAAAATTAATTAGAGGAAACATTTAAAAGTTATAATGCAATAAAAATAAATTTAAAATATGAAAAATATAGAAGCATGTCATACTTTATCTCAACCCTTGCCTCTTCTAGTTTCTGCTTTTAACATTGTCATAAATTCAGCAGCATTTATAATCAGTGTGATTACTCATTCTATATTTTCCTTAGGGATGCATTTATTATTATTCATGTTTTAAGTAAATTAGTTTAAAACTATAGCTTTGTCCAGATCTGCACTTCAGAATGAATTATTTCCACTATTCTTTCAAAGTGAACATTTATATTTCATATTGCATTATATAACTCAGTTTGAAAATCTTAGGCAATTGTAAAATTATGATGCTAGGAGTGTCGTCAAGTAATTTTTCAGTCTACCCCTTGTCTCAGCACATGATTGGTATCAAGTCATGTCAACTATTTCATTCTCCTGAAAAAAAAAAAAAAGGTTTTCCTTCTTTATAAGCTGAAACTCTCCTGCTCCATGAGAAGCTCACAGATTTTTTTCTTTGGTGGCATGAGTAACAGTTATTCACGTGTCTTCATAAAATAGCCTTTCACTTATTTGAAATCTTCTTTTAGTGATACTTGACACAGTGCCAGTGGATCAAATACATTGCTGAAAAATATTTTTAACCAAACATAGCAGCATTAATCAGCTTTCAGAACAAATTGACAGTTTGGAGAATGTACCTTGCAAGTTGTTTAAAATATTTGACTAAGTAGTCACAGAAAATTTATCCTTAATAACAATGAAAATAATAATAATTCTTCCTCTTTCTTGTTATTGTCAGCAAAAGGCAAATCGCTTCGCATGCTGAAATAAGCAACAAACTGTGAAAGTGCACACTTGCATATATTTCACTATATAACCAAGTCAAATGCCTAGGAGAGTTAACTTGATACACATTAAATGTATAAAATTATTTTTTTCTTTCCATATTTTATTGTAGGTTCAAGAGGTATATGGGCAGATTTGGTACATGGATAAATTGCCAGTCACAGGGATTTGGTGTACAGAAAATTTTGTCATCCAGGTAATCAATATAATATTCAATATATTTTTAATCCTTACCCTCCTCCCTCCCTCCACTCTCAAGTAGGCCCCAATGTATATTGTTCTTTTTTTTGTGTCCATGTGTACTCTATGTTTCCCTCACACTTATAAGTGAAAATATGCAGCATTTGGATTTTTGGTCCTGTGTTAATTCACTAAGGATGGTCTTCAGCTGCATCCATGTTGCTGCAAAGGACATGATTTTATTCTATTTTATGGCTGGATAGTATTCCATGGTGTATATGTGCCACATTTTTTTATCCAGTCCACCATCAATGGGCATTTAGGTTCATTCCGTGTCTTTGCTATTGTGAATAGTGCTGCAATAAACATACACATGCATGTATCTTTATAATGGAATGATATGCATTCCTTTGGGTATATACCCAGTAATGGGATGGCTGGGTCAAATGGTATTTCTGCCTCTAAGTCTTTGAGGAATCACCAAACTGTCTTCCACAGTGGTTGAATTAATTTACACTCTCACCAACAATGTAAAAGCATTCCTTTTCCTCCATAACCTCTCCATCATCTGTTTTTATCTGTTTTTTTTTTGTTGTTGTTGTTTATTTGTTTTACTTTTTTGTAATATCCATTCATCCTAGCCATTCTGACTGGCATGAGATGGTATCTCATTGTGGTTTTTATTTTCATTTATCTAAGGATTAGTAGTATTGAGCATTTTTTCATATGATTTTTGGCCGTGCATATGCCTTCTTTTAAAAAGTATCTGTTCATGACCCTTGCCCATCTTTTAATAGGGCTGTTTGGTTTTATTTTTTTGATTTAAGTTTCTTATAGAGTTTGGATATTGCACCTTTGTCAAATGCACAGTTTGCAAATATTTTCTCCCATTTCTGTAAATTGTCTGTTAACTCTGTTAATAGTTTTTTTTTTTCCTATGCAAAATCTCTTATTTTAATTAAGTTCCACTTGTCAATTTTTCTTTTAGTTGCAATTGCTTTTGACATCTTCATCATGAAGTCTTTGTCAGGATTGATGTCGAGAATGCTATTTCCTAGGTTTTCTTCTAGATTTTTTAAGAGTTTTAGGCCTTACATCTTTAATCCATCTTTAGTTGATTTTTGAATATGATAAATGGAAGAGGTTCAGTTTCAATCTTCTGCATATGGCTAGCCAGTTATTCCACAATTTATTGAATAGGAATTCTTTCCCCATTGCTTATTATTGTCAGCTTTCTTAAAGATCAGATGGTTTTAGGTGAATGTCTTTACTCCTGAGTTCTCCAACCTGTTACATTGGTCTGTGTGTCTGTTTTTGTATCAGTACCACGCTCCTTTAGTTACTGTAGCTTTATAGTATAGTTTATAGAAGTCAGGTAGTGTGATACCTCCACCTTTGTTCTTTTTGCTTCAGATTTCTTGGCTACTTGGGGCTATTTTTTGATTCCAAATGAATTTTACAATATTTTTCTTTATAATTCTGTACAGAATGTCATTGGTAGTTTAATAGGAACAGCACTGAATCTGTAAATTGCTTTGGGCAGTATGGCCATTTTAACAATATTGATTTTTTCTATTCATGAACATGGAATGTTTTTTCATTTGTTTGTGTCATGTTTGATTTATTTCAGCAGTGTTTTGTAATTCTCATTGTAGAGTTATTTTATCTTCCTGGTTAGTTGTAGTCCTAGGTATTTTAATCTTCTTATGGTTATTGGGAAGGGGACTGCAATCTTGATTTGGCTCTCAGCTTGGATGTTATTCATATATAAAAATACTACTGTTATGTATACATCGATTTTATATACTGAAACTTTGCTGAAATTGTTTATCAGCTCTAGGAGTCTTTGGGCACAGATTATGGAGTTTTCTAAGGATAAATAATATTGTCTGAAAATAGATAGTTTGCTTTTTTCTATTCGTATTTGGATGCCTTTTATTTTTTTCTTGCCTGATTGCTCTGGCTAGAAACTACCCATACTATATTGAATAGGAGTGGTGACAGTGAGCACCTTTGTCTTTTACCAGTTCTCTCGGGAAATGATTCCTGCTTTTGACCATTCAGTATGATGTTGCCAGTGGGTTTGTCATAGGTGGCTCTTATTATTTTGAGGTATCTTTGATTTCTAGTTTGTTGAGGGTTTTTAACATGAAAGAATGTTGAATTTCATCAAAAGCCTTTTCTGCCTCCATTGTGACGATCATGTGGTTTGCTTTTAGTTCTGTTTATGTGATGTTCTTATTGTGCAGCATGACAATTAGTTATAAAAGGTAAACAGGGCACATAATGAGTGCAATTTAATTTTACTCATACATAAAAAGGCTGAATTTTTTTCAAGTTTTTAAAATTATTGCATGTTACTATGTTCTGAGTGTTATAAAGATTATTCAAATATAAGATCGTTGTTGAGGCATCTGTAATTAGTGTTTGATATTAAAAACTTTTTCTTGATATCAGAGATAACTTAATTTAACATGTTTATTATACTTATGCCATCACATTAAAAAGAAAAGGGCATGTATCTGATTTACTGAGGCTGGAGTTGACTACAATCCCCTGGCATCTGTCCATTGCATCACTCTTCTTCTTCAAGATTCTTCTTCAAACATCAGGTGTTCCTGATTCACTACCATCTCTCCAGTCACCATGGTGCTGATGGTCTCCAAGTAGTTATACTTTGGTCCACGATGGTGTTATTTAATTCCTAGGACTGACAGTACTACAATCCTGCTGCAAGAGGGAATATCTGACCCAGACCACGCAAATTACATTGTCAGATTCCCCCTTCTTTCTATCTTTTAGACCAAAAAGTTTTTTAGCAATAAGATAGAATGGCTCCTTATATATTCTTCCAAATATACTATTTATGAAATAAATTTTAAGTTATTAGCTCTTTAGTATATTGTCTAGTGGAAACCACTGTCCTAGACCCTTAGAAATTGAAAATTTATTCTCTCAAACTCTCTGTTTAAAACAACGGAGGCTGGGTGTGGTGGCTCATGCCTGTAATCCCAGCACTTTGGGAGGCCGAGGCTGGTGGACTACCTGAGGTCAGGATTTCGAGACCAGACTGGCTAATATGGTGAAACCCCGTCTCTACTAAAGATATAAAATTAACCGGGCGTGGTTGCACATGCCTATTATCCCAGCTACTTGGGAGGCTGAGGCAGGAGAATCACTTGAACCAGGGAAGTGGAGGTTGCAGTGAGCCGAGATTGTGCCACTGCATTCCAGCCTGGGCAACAAGAGCAAAACTCCATCTCAAAAAAAAAAAAAAATGAATAAAGGGATTTTGTTTTTGTTCTGTTTGCATTTCTCCTTTAAAATCTCTTTCCTGAAGATTAGTGGGATGAAGGACTACAAATGTAAAAAAATTATTTGAAGAAAAAAGAAAAGCAAATGCATAAATATTATATCAAATTAATATTCAGACTTACTTCACTTCTAACTTGTTGCTTTATCCTCCACCAAGGATGATGGTTTAATTTATATCTTCTGAAACAAACCATAAATTAAACCATATTCTTCCTAATTTCAAATTTCTCCCTAAAAATGTGGAGATTTTCATTTAATTTGTCTACTATCTAGCACAATAATTTAATAGGTGCTCAAAAAATGTTTACATGTGTGCTTATGTAGGTATAAGTTCAGGATTCCACCATGATCTTTAATTGAAGACTTAATTTTATTATTTCATTAATTCATTCAATATTGAAAAGATAGTCATTTACAGCTTTTTCATTACCAGACACTTCTAGATTCTAGTGATAAAAACATGAAAATATAAATGTCCTACTATTGTGCCCTTTAAGACATCACAGTCTAGTAAAGAAGACAGTCAAGCAAACAGAAAATAGTATCAAGAAGCATATACGGCATATATCAAGAGTCATCAAGAGGTATTTTAAAAGTGTGGTAAGTTTGCTTCACTAATGTATCCCCAGCGCATAGCATAGTGTCTACCATACAGAAGATATTCTATCATTAAGAAGAGTATTGATTTTTTACAGGTAAGTATTACAAAGGAGCAATATGTTTCGCTATGAAGGCATAGTTAGGCTTGTAGTTTGTCACAAATAAACTGTAACCAGTTACTGACAAGCTGTCAATATTTATAAAAGATTTCCCTTTTATAAAATTTAACTGTTTCTGCTTATAGTAATATTCCCGCTCTCTTTTATTCCAAAGTATTTAGACTGGTTGTTTAGTGCAGAATAAAATTTGTTGAAATGAGGATCTGAATACTGTTTCTAATTCTTACTAAAAATGTGACTTTGGGGAGTTTATCTACTCTTTCTGAGCTTTGACTATCTTATCTGTAATATAGAGATAATAGAAGTACCACTTCATAGACGTGCTGTATGGATTAAATGCTTAATGTATGTGAAGTGCTTGTAACAGTCCTGGCACATAGTAAGCGCTATATAAGCATTAGCTATTCTTATCATGTTATAGGTACCCCCCCTCCACCCCCCGCCCCGCCCCGGAGTCTCACTCTGTCGCCCAGGCTGGAGTGCAGTGGCACAATCTCGGCTCACTGCAAGCTCCGCCTCCCGGGTTCACGCCATTCTGCCTCAGCCTCCCCAGTAGCTGGGTACAGGCGACTGCCACCACGCCCGGCTAAATTTTTTTTTTTTTTTTTTTTTTTGTATTTTTAGTAGAGACGGGGTTTCACCGTGTTAGCCAGGATGGTCTCGATCTTCTGACCTCTTGATCGGTCCGCCTTGGCCTCCCAAAGTGATGGGATTACAGGCGTGAGCCACCGCACCCAGCCAGTATAGGTTTTTTGTACAAGTAACAAGAGGCAAGAGTCTAACAAAGCTTGCTAGCAGTTGCATGTTATCCTGGGTGGGTCCATAGAAATGGTTGTGCTGTGTGAACTATGTCATTTGGTTCTAAGAGAAAAACAATTGAAAGTTAACTGTGAGATAGTAAGTACAGTATATCTGAGAGTCTGTAAAAGCAGCATCTCAGCACTTCACGTAATCAATATGTGACAAACATAAATTACAAAGAATAATTTATTTCTTTTAGGTTAACTTATTTTTTAGGCCAGGTATCTATTAGTCATTAGGCTTGCTGACTGATTTCTTGTATCTTCACCTGAAATCCTTTCTTTCATTCTGAGTTAAGATTATTACTTTGAATCTGAGCTAAAGCAATCTGTCCCCTAGAAAATAGTTAAATACTTAAGAATTTTTTTTCTCTTTTCTAGATATGTTATCCTGTAATCTTAAATCAGTGCCTCTTCTTAATCTAGGAAGTGATTCTCAAACTTCAAGATTCTGATAGAATATGTCAAAAATCTGACATTTCCTGCTACTCTCTACAGCTTTTGCCACTCTGAGCCACACGAGGAATGTACATTATTACACTTAGAGGTGTCTCTCCCCCTTTTATCTAGATATAACTAGTGCAGAAACTAAGAGGAAATGCAAAGATAGGATAAAAGAGAATGGCTTTCTCTGCAGATTACTACCTAGTGATTTCTTTTCACTGTAGTCCATCTAAAGGCTGTCTGGTTATGTCTTATTGGTATTCCTCCTTGTAGTATAAATGAGCAAATTTCTTGGCACCTGCTGAAGAGTTATATTAATTTGTGCAGCTGCTACATTTGAATTTTCAGGATCCCGTAGTTTTATTTCCTGAAACTTAACTGGCGATGGTAACGGGAAAACATTCATAAGAAATAACTTTAGGTGTTTCATATATACTATTTATGTAAATTTTACATAAGCAGATAAATCGGGATTTTTGCTTAATTTCGAATATTATGTAGAGAGGCCACATTTATTTTGAAAATCTGGTCTCTCTATATAATATTATAAATTAAGCAAAAATCCAAATTAGCAATGCTTTGTTGGCTTGTTTATTTTACAAGCTTGCACAGCATGTTAAAAGAAGAGGTAATCACATATTACTGGGACAGATATGTCATTATTTTTCTAGATCTAAGAAATATGAATAATTATGTTTGTTCTTCATATATAGCTTTGTGTGCAACACTCTTACGTAGATATTTACATCACTTATCAAAATCCACTTCAGGCATTTGCACAAACACAAAATACATAAGCTCTTCACATTAAAATAATAGCTCTGAGGAAGTGTAAAGATGCTGACTAGAAGCAGCTAGTGTGTGCTGCTGTCACTGAGAAAACATACAGGCAGTAAACATTACCTCTTCAACTGGATTATCCAGGAGGACACGTTGGGATTCATTAGGGAAGCAACATGACACACAGAGATCAGAGAGGAGTGAGACAGGACAGCTGCCCACCCAGGACTGGCACAGACTGCAGGGAGAAACCCCACCATGAAAAATGGTGACTCAGCAAGAGCCCCTAGGAACCATACACTTTATTCCATGGACTCTTGAATCCTGGGTGCATAAGATCCTCCTTCCCCTGCCCCTGGGGCCTCTAGACTGAAATGGAGAGCAGTGTGCATTCTGGGCAAAGACATCATTCAGGCCCACATGGAAGCCCAAAGATCTTGCATCCCTGAGAATCCCAGCTCCAGCTGCCATAGCCCCACCAAAAAGGGATGCCAGGCTCTCTCACATGCCTCCAGAAGAGGGGACATATCAATGGTGTTGAGGAGCAGACAGCCTCTAGGTCTTGCCTCCGCTGCACTGCACCGAGCAAAGCCCACTGGCCTGGAACCCCAGCATAGCCACCCCACCCACAGCTGAGCACTTGGGCCAGTTGCAGCTCTGCATTTCTCTGAGACTGAGCTCCCAGAGGTAACTGACAGGCCTAAGCTATTGCCATTGCTCCAGCCTACTGCCATCAGGCTAGGGAAGGAATGAAGAGAAGAATTATTGTAGGCCACCTTCAGCACACCAGAGCTGCCATATGGAAAAGCAGCCAGACTGTTTTCCACACAAGAAACAAGGCAGCATGTGTGCCCAGCTTGGGCCCACACTGCAGCTGTCTTACCCTTGGCTGAACATTCCCATTGGCGGGAGCTCTGTGTCACTCTGGGCTAAAGTTCTCAGAGGCAACTGACTCTGGAAGTTTCATCCCTGGGAACTGATACCTCCACCACTACCACGACCTTGCTATCCTTGGGCTGTAGAGCAACAAAAACCTTGATCACTTTGCTTGCACCTTCAGCACACCGCAGCTGCCATATGGAGAAGGGGTCAGTCTTCTCTGTGCGCCCCTGATGCCCTGCCTTTTACCAGGCAGGATGACCGTCTTGGGCCTGTAGCACAGCATCTCCACTCCTTGCTGAATATTCTCATTGGCAGTGGCTCTGTTTCTCTCTAAGGAGGAGTTCTCAGAAGCAACTGGCAACCCCTCTACCACTGTCACCAGGCTGGGAATGCAACAAAGAGCCTGAGTGCTTTACTTGTACCCCCACCATGCCACAGCCACCCTACAGAGAAGAGACCAGACTGTCTTTCTCATAAGTCCACTGCCACCTCTGTTCTTCACCAGGCAGAGTTGAAAGGCTTGGGCTCACAGTACAGCTGCCCCTGTATAATCATTTTGATTGGCAGCAGCTCAGCATTTCTCAGGGGTGGAGCCCCCAGAGACAAGTGAAAGACCCTCTGACATTACCACTGCCAAGAGTACCACCACCACTGCCCCAAAGCTGAGGAGGGAACAAAACATCTGAGCTTGCCCCAGGTCTGTGGTGCACAGCCTGAGAGTGCCAAGCCAAGATTAGTGGCCAGAACTTGAGTGGGAGAGGAACCCACAGTTTCAGAGCAGTTCCATGCAAAAACCACTTTGCTAATATACACCCCTGTGAATCCAAGAACATCAATTCAGCCACAAATAAAGACCCTCCCCCAAAGCGTTGGCTCTCTTAAAACAGTCACAAACAGAGGTCAATTGAATATGCTCAAATTACACCACAGGTAAAGAAACAACAACACAAAGATGGGAAAACAAAACAAAACAAAACAAGACAACAGCAAAACAAAACAAAAAACAGCACAAGAACTGTGGCAACTATAAAATCCAGAACATCTTTGTACCTGCAAATTTCTACACTAGTTCCAAACAATTGTACTGAACCAGAGAGAAAAAGATTAAATGACTAATGTAGATTTCAGAATCTGAATGGCAATGAAGATTATAAAGATTCAGGAGAAAGTTAAAATCCAACGCAAGGAATCTAAAGAATCCAGTAAAACAATATAAGAGATGAAAGACTAGCCATTTTAAGAAAGAATCAAACTGATCTGATAGGGCTGAAAAACTATCAGAATTTCATAGTACAATCAGAAGTATTAATTGAAGAATAGACCAACCTGAGAAAAAAATTTCAGTGCTCCAAGCCCAGTTCTTCAAATTAGCTCAGTCAGACAAAAATAAAGAGAAAAGAATAAAAAAAAAAATTAAGAAAACCTCTGAGAAATATGGGATTAAGTAAGGAGACAAAACATATGACTCCTTGTTATCCCTGAAAGAGAAAGAGAGAGAGCAAGAAACTCAGAGAATATATTTGAGAATTTTGTACACAAAATTTTCCCCAACCTTGCTAGACAGGCTGGCACTCAAATTTGGGAAATTTGGAGAAGCCTTGCAAGATAGTATAACAAGATGACTATCCCCAAGCCACATAGTAATTAATTAGGTTTTCCAAGGCCAAGGTGAGAGAAAAAAATGTTAAAGGCAACTGGAGGGAAGTGGAAGGTCAGCTACAAAGGGGACCCCATCAGGCGGACAGCAGACTTTTCAGCAGAAACTCTACAAGCCAGAAGAGAGCAGGAGCCTATAGTCAGTATTCTTTTTTTTATTTTTTTATTATACTTTAAGTTTTAGGGTACATGTGCACAACGTGCAGGTTTGTTACATATGTATACATGTGCCATGTTGGTGTGTTGCACCCATTAACTAGTCATTTAGCATTAGGTATATTTCCTAATGCTATCCCTCCCCCCTCCCCCCACCCCACAACAGTCCCCGGTGTGTGAAGTCAGTGTGGCGATTCCTCAGGGGCCTAGAATTAGAAATACCATTTGAACCAGCCATCCCATTACTGGGTATATACCCAAAGGATTATAAATCATGCTGCTATAAAGACACATGCACACGTATGTTTATTGCGGCTATTCACAATAGCAGAGACTTGGAGCCTATAGTCAGCATTCTAAGAAAAAAAAGAAATTTCAACCAAGAATATTATATTCAGTCAAACTATCATTCATAAGCAAAGGAGAAACAAATGCTGATGGAAATTGTTATGATCTGATATGCCTTACTAGAGGTCCTTAAGGGAGTGCTAAGGGAAAACCCATTACAGGCCAACACAGAAATTCACATATGTACATAGACCATTGACACTATAAAGCAACTATACAATCAAGTCCACATAACAACCAGCTAAAAACATGACAAAATCAAATTTGCAAATACTCATATTAACCTTGAATGTAAATAGGTTAAATGCCCTATTTATAAGGCACAAAATTGCACGTTCAATAAAGAAGCAAGACCCAACTGTATGCTTTCTTCAAAAGACACATCTCACATGAGAGGACACGCATAGGCTCTAAGTAAAGGGCTAAAGAAAGATCTATCAAGTAAACAGAAAACAAAAAAGAGCAGGTTTGCTAATATTATTTCAGACAAAACAGCATTTAAACCAACAACGATCAAAAAGGAAAAAGAAAAACATTACATAATAATAGAGAATTCAATTCAACAAGATTTAACTATTTTAAATATATATGCAAACAACACTAGAGAACTGAGGTTTATAGAACAAGTTCCTAGAGACTTGCAAAGAAAATTAGATAACTACACAACAATAATAGTGGGAGACTTCAACTTCCGTCTGACTCCAAGAGACACCATCCCTCATTTTGCCTCCATCATCTAAGGAGACAAAATCTAACAAGCATATTGAGGACTTAACTCTTGACACTTGATCAAATAGATGGAAGAGACATTTACAGAACACTCTACCCAAAAAGAACAGAATATACATTCTTTTCTTCTGCACATAACACATAATCTAAAATTGACCACATGCTTGGAAATAAAGCAATTCTGATCAAATATAAAAGAAAACCAAAACAATACCAATCAGAATCTCAATAAAATAAAAAAAAATATATATATATATAAATCAGACGGAGCATGGTGGCTCATGCCTGTAATCCCAGCACTTTGGGAGGCCAAGGTGGGTGGATCACCTGAGGCCAGGAGTTCAAGACCAGCCTTGGGAAACATGGTGAAACCCTGTCTCTACTAAAAAAAAAAAAAAGAAAAGCCAGGTGTGGTGGCACATGCCTCTAATCCCAGCTACCTGGGAGGCTGAGGCAAGAGAATAGCTTGAACCTGGGAGGCGGAGGTTGCAATGAGTCAAGATTGTGCCATTGCGTTCCCTGCTGGGAGACAAGAGTGAAACTGCCTCAAAAAATAAAAAAAAATCAGTACTGAGAAGGTTTCTCAAAATTATGAAATTACACAACCTGCTTTTGAATGACTTTTGGGGAAGCAATGAAACTAAGGAAGAAATCAACCCAGCAATCCCATTACTGGGTATATACCCAAAGGATTATAAATCATGCTGCTATAAAGACACATGCACACGTATGTTTATTGTGGCACTATTCACAATAGCAAACACTTGGAACCAACCCAAATGTCCAACAGTGATAGACTGGATTAAGAAAATGTGGCACATATACACCATGGAATACTATGCAGCCATAAAAAAGGATGAGTTCATGTCCTTTGTAGGGACATGGATGAAACTGGAAACCATCATTCTCAGCAAACTATCGCAAGGACAAAAAAACAAACACCACATGTTCTCACTCAGGTGGGAATTGAACAATGAGAACACATGGACACAGGAAAGGGAACATCACACACTGGGGCCTGTTGTGGGGTGGGGGGAGGAGGGAGGGATAGCATTAGGAGATATACCTAATGTTAAATGAGGAGTTAATGGGTGCAGCACACCAACATGGAACATGTATACATGCGTAACTAACCTGCATGTTGTGCACATGTACACTAAAACTTAAAGTATAATTAAAAAAAAAAAACGAAAATAATGAAAACAAAGAAACAACATACCAGAAAGTATGGAACACAGCTAAAGTATTAAGAAACACATTTATAGTGATAAATGCACACATGAAAAAGTAAGATCAAAAATTAGCAACCCAATAGCCTGCCTTGAGCTAGAAAAACAGGAGCAATCCAGCCCCAAAGCTGGCAGAGGAAAATAAATTATCGAAACAAGAACAAAACTAAATGAGAGATGAGAAAAAATAAAACATACAAAAGATCAACTACACAAAAGTTTGTTCTTCAAAAGAATAAATAAGATTGGTAGACCACTAGCTAGACTATGAAAGAAAAAAGAGAGAAAATTCAAATAAAGACAACCAGAAATGACAAAAGAGACATTACCAACAACCCCACAAAAAACAAAAGTCCCTCAAAGACTATTAAGAATACCTCTATGCACACAAACCAGAAAATGTAAAAAAAAAATAGACAAATTCCTGGAAACATAAAATCTCCCAAGCTTGAACTAGGAAGAAATTGAAATCCTGAACTGAACAATAATGAGTTTTTAAATTGAATCAGTAATAAAAATCCTACAAACCAGAAAAAGGACTTGACCAAATGAATTCACAGCTGAATTCAACAAAATGTATAAAGAAGAGTTGAAACCAATTCTACTGAAACTATTTCAAAAGACAGGAGTAGGGACTCCTTCCATGCTCATTCTGTGAGACCAGCATCACTGTGATACCAACACTGACAGAGACACAACAACAACAACAACAAAAACAAAAACAAAAATCTTTAGGCCAATATCCTTAAGAAACATAAATGCAAATATTCTCATCACAATACTAGCAAACTGAATTCCAACAGCACATCAAAATGTTAATCTACCATGATCAAGTAAGCATTGTTTCTGGGATGCAAGTTTGACTGGACATACTTAAATCAATAAATGAGATTCACCACATAAACAGAACTAAACTCCAAAATCTTACGATCATGTCAATAGATGCAGAAAAGACTTGTGATAAAGTTCAACATTCCTTAATGTTAAAAACCCTCATCAAACTAGGCATTGAAGGAACATGACTTAAAATATTAAGAGCTATCTATGAAAACCCACAGAAAACATCATATAGAATGAGCAAAAGCTGGAAGCATTCCCCTTGAGGACCAGAACAAAACAAGGAACCCCACTCTCGCTACTGTTATTCAACACAAGACTGAAAATCCTAGCCAGAGCAATTAGGCAAGACAATTAAATAAAAGGCATCTATATAGAAAAAGAAGAAGTCAAAATATCTCTCTCCATAGACAATATAATTTGACATTAAGAAAACCCCATAGTCTCTGTCCAAAGGCTTTTATATCTGATAAACTGTTTCAACATAGTTTCAGTACACAAAATTAATTTTGAAAAATCAGTAGCATTTCTATACACCAATAACATCCATGCTGAGAGTCAAATAAAAAATGCAATCCTGCTCACAATAGCCACAAAAACAATAAAATACCTAACTAAAGAAGCGAAAGCTCTCTACAACAAGAATTATAAAACACTGCTCAGAAAAATCAGAGATGACACAAATAAACGGAAAAACATTCCACGCTCATGAATAGGAGAATTAATATTGTTAAAATGGCCATACTGCCCAAAGCAATTTACAGATTCAGTGCTATTCCTATCAAACTACCAATGAGATTCTTCACAAAATTAGAAAAAACTATTTTAAAATACATATGGAGCCAATAAAGGGCCCAAAGAGCCAAATAAATCTTAAACAAAAAGAATAGAGCTGGAGCCATCACTCTATGTGACTTAAAATGATACTACAAGGCTACACTAACCAAAACAGTGTGGTACTGGTACAAAAACAAACATATAGACCAATGCAAGAGTTTAGGGAACTGAGAAATAAAGCCACACACTTAAAACCATCTGATCTTCAAGAAAGCTGACAATAGTAAGCCATGGGGAAAGAGTCCCTATTCAATAAATTGTGCTGGGATAACTGGCTACCCATATGGAGAAGATTGAAACTGGACCCGCTCATTTTACCATATACAAAAATAAATGCAAGATGGATCAAATACTTAAATGTAAAACCTAAACCTATAAAAACTCTACAAGCAAACCTAGGAAATACCATTCTGGTAATCGGCTCTGGCAAACACTTCATGACAAAGATGCTGAAAGCAGTTGCAACTAACTCAAAAATTGACAAGTAAGACATAATTAAAGAGAATCCTCACAGCAAAAGAAACTATCAACAGATAGACTATAAACAGACAACCTACATAATGGGAGAAAATATTTGCAAACTATGCATTTGACTAAGATCTAATATCCATATTCTATAAGGAATTTAAACAAATCAATAAGCAAAGGTAAACAACCTCAATAATAAATGGGGGAAGAACATGAAGAGAACATTCTAAAAAGAAGCCAAAAAGTGTATGAAAAAATGTCAATATCAGTAATCGTTAAGAAAATGCAAACAAAACCACAATGAGATATAATCTCACAGCAGTCAGAATGGCTATTACTAAAGAGTCAAAAACCAACAGATGATGGCTAGGTTGTGGAGAAAAGAAAACAGTTATACACTGCTAGTGGGAATGTAAATTAGATCAGCCACTGTAGAAAGCAGTCTGGAGAGTTCTCAAATAACTTAAAATACAGAACTTAAAAGGACTAAGCAATTTCATTATTGAGTGTGTACCCAGATAAATATAAATAGTTCTACCATGAAGACACAAGCATGCCTATCTTCACGGCAGCACCATTCACAAGAGCAAAGTCATGGAATAAACCTAGATGGCCATCAATAGTGAAATGGATAAAGCAAATGTGGTACATATTCACCTTGGAATACTACCTCACCATAATAAATAATGAAATTATGTTCTTTGCAACAACATTGATGAATCTGGGGACCATTATCCTAAGCAAATTGATGCAGGAACATAAAATCAAATATCACACGCTCTCACATATAAGTGTGAGCTAAACACTGAGTACACATGGACAGAAAGAAGGGAACAATAGACACCGGAGCCTACTTGTAGGTAAAGCATGGGTGGATGGTGAGGGTTGAAAAACTACCTATCAGGTACTATGCTGATTACCTGGGTGACCAAACCTCCATGACACACAATTTACCAATGTATCAATCCTGCACATGTACTCCCAGAATGTAAAATAAAATTTGAAAGAAAAAAATAAAACAATAGCTCTTTTAGAGCTAGTAGATTTTTACTCATAGAAAATGTGTTCAATTATAACTTAAAACAGAACTACCATTTGACCGAGCAATTCCATTACTGGGTGTATACCCAGAGGAATATAGATTACTCTGCCATAAAGACACTTGCATTAGTCTGTTCATCACAGCACTATTCATTATAGCAAAGACATCAAATCAGCCTAGATGCTCATCAGTGGTGTACTAGACAAAGAAAAGATGGTACATATACAAAATTAAATACTATGCAGCTATAAACAATAAAATAATGATATCCTGTTGTTTGCAAAAACGTGGATGGAACTGGAGGTCATCATGTCATGGAAAGACAAACTCCTTATGTTCTCACTTATTTGTGAGTGCTAAAAATCAAAACAATTGAATTTATGAAGATTGAGAATACAAGGACTGTTAACCAGAGGCTGAGGATAGTGAGGGGCTGTAGGGGAGGTAGGGATGGTTAATGTACAGAAAAAAATAGAAATAATGAGTAAGACATACCATTTGATAGCACAACAGGGTGACTATAGTCAGTAATAACTTAATTGTAAATTTTAAAATGACTAAAAGAGTATAATTGTATTGTTTATAACACAAAGGATAAATGCTAGAGGGGATGGATACCTCATTTTCATGATGTGATTATTGCTTATTTCATGCCTGTACCAAAGTATCTCATATACCCCATAAATATATACACCTACTATGTATCAATCAAAAATTTTTAAAAATTAAAGAAGAAAAAAAAAGAAAATTTGGTAAATATACACCATGGAATACTATGCAGCCACAGAAAAACCAATGAAATGATATCCTATGTAGCAACATGGATGGAGCTGGAGGCCATTATCCTAAGCAAATTAACACACAGGAACAGAAAAACAAATATCACATATTACCACTTATAAGTGGGAGCTACATATTGAGTACACGTGGACACAAAGAAGGAAACAATAGACAGCAGAGCTTTCTTGAGAGTGAAGGGTGAGAGGAGAGCGAGGATCAAAAAACTGCCTATTGTCAGCTGGGTGCAGTGGCTCACGCCTGTAAACACGACACTTTAGGAGGCCGAGGAGGGTGGATCATGAGGTCGAGATCGAGACTATCCTGGCTAACATGCTGAAACCCCATCTCTACTAAAATACAATAAATTAGCCGGGAGTGGTGACACATGCTTGTAATCCCAGTTACTTGGGAGGCTGAGGCAGGAGAATCGCTTGAACCCAGGAGATGGAGGTTGCAGTGAGCGGAGATGGCAACGCTGCACTCCAGCCTGGCGACAGAGAGACTCCGTATCAAAAATAAATAAATAAATAAATAAATACATAAATTAAAAAAACCCTGCCTATTGTCTACTATCCGCACTACCCGGGCGACAAAATAATCTGTACAGAAAACCCCTGCAATATTAATTTACCCACATAATAAACCTATGCATGTACCCTGTAAACTTAAAATAAAAGTTGGAAATAAAAAAGAAAGCATCATTTCACCATTTTGTATTTGACTAAATGTTTTCAGGTGGCATAAACTCTCTTCTTCTCTACCTTTAGGACTCACCTGTGTTTGTACATAATTCTGTTTTCATTTTCAAGGATGTCATAAATAAACACAGGTATTAAGAGACATTATATAATTTTGATTTGGAGCCTCAGTGAAGTGGGGTGCCTTGAATTTTAATACATACATGGCCAAGAATAATAGAGCTATAAAAGTGCCACAAGCTGATTTTAGGTATGATATTTCCTATTTTGAAAGTTGATTTCTCAGATTTCCATATTATCACAAAAGTGTTTTTTTCAATGGCATCTATGTTATATGTCTACATGTATACACTGAGAGATAAGTTGCGTGCATGTGTGTGTCTAGTACAACATGGAAAATTACATCCACTGAGGTATATTTTTAGAAACACAGAACATAGATGATTGACAGAACAAAGCATATGGAAATGAAGACAAATCTAACCGACATTTAGATCTAAGAAAAAAATATTTGCCTGAAGGGAAAATATTAATTAGTTTGTCTACATGCAAGATAAAAGTCTGGAAGACGTATCTATCAAAAGGCAGTGGAATAAACAGCAAAATGGAAATTATTTGTAAACTGACAGTAAACTTGGCAAACATTAAGGGGGTAAACAAGTTATTTGGCATGCAAAGCATTTTGAAATCACAGCCTCTGTCAGGAGGCATCTGTGCCTAGATTCACTTATTTGACAGAAATTAACATTTTGCAGAAATCTTTGTTGCATGCTAAAGATTTCTTCACCCTCCTTAATTATTTTAATTGCTGCTTCAGAATGTTCCAAATAAACACTAAAAAGATGCTAAACTCCACAAAGTCCAATCCAATTTCAATATTACAGAGTGATTGCACTCTGAGTTGACTGTAATACCTACCAAGAGGTGATCTATTTAAGTAAATATACCCAGCATATTTTTATGGGATAAAATATAAGGGCCATGTAAATCCAGTAATAAGCCTTATAGCACTGGGAAAGGTAAAATTGCAAGTTCAGCCGCAGAAACTACTTTACCCAATTTTATCTATCTTACATAATTAAAAATCATGCAAGGTTCTAAAATCCTATGGATTAAATAATTTTCACTATCTTTAATTTCTGACAAAATTTTAGATAACTAGTAAGGTAAATTAAGAGATTTGGTATAGTGGGAAAAATATTGTCACAGAGATTCAAGAAGTCCTAGCTCTGTCAATAACTAGTTGTCATTTAACTTCTGTGGTTCTCAGTCTCCTCATCAGTAAAAAGAAAAAGATTTGATCTTGTCTGAAGTCCTTTTCAAGCTACAATTTAGACATTCCAGGTTATCTGATTATAAATGTTCAAACTCTCTTATTTTGGGAACTTAAGAAACTTATTTTCTTAAGTGAAAACTGTCTTGTTCAAAACAGTGATTTTCTTTCTTTTTTTTTTTAAATAATATTCACTGTGAGAGAGATATCCGTCAGCAAAATCCTGTAATTTTTGTTTCAAAATAATAGAATCTTTAAGCAGTGACTTTTTCTCCTTTTACCTTTGAGGAAACTGATGTATACAAAGATTAACTGACTTGAATTTAAGTGTTATATTTAAAACAGGTCATTTTTATGTTTAAAGCCCTTTGATAAGTGCTTTACTTTTATTATGTAACTCAATTTTTAAAACAGTGTATGAAGTAGGAGGAGGTAGTCTGGTAGTAGAAACAGAATTTATACAAAGTTAATTCATCTAAAGACTATTATTTCCACACCACAATATCCTCAAGTTAAGTAGGCAGTTGCATATTTAAGGTATACTTTAAGGGAATCTACTGATCTGCTATTCTACCATTAGATTCATTCCTGTGTGCTACCAATCCAGAATCTGCTTCTAGGACGTTCTTAATAGAAGTCACAAAAATGAGCTAACACAACAATTTGTAAGTGCTTGTCACTAATAAAGATTTCACTTGTCAGTAACAAAATCAATTAGTTATTTTTCATAAAGCTAGATATAGTCTATTTAATATACTCCATTATTTTAAATTATAATTTCTGCTATTTTGGTGTTAATGAATTATTCTTTTATGAAATAACAATCTATGTGGAAGACAATATATTCCATTTTGTCTGGAGGAGAGGTTTTGGCATATTAATTAAAAAGCAAGGCCCTGGTTTCAGGCTATCTTGGTTACACAACACCTACTTTTAATTTTGCAACTTGTGCAAGTGATTAAATCTTTCTAAAACTTTTCTCAGCTCTATAGTATGATTAATAATGGTATCATTTTCATATGATTATTATGATTATTACCTGAGTTAATGCATGTGAAGTGCTTTACACATGTTAATGGCATGTTAGATATTAGCTGTTACTTATATAATAGGGGTATAGGTTTATGTGTTTGAGTATACGTGTGTGTGTGTCTATGTTTTTCATAGCTTTGTATATTAAAATAAAAAGTTAGCAAACATATATTGGTCCTCTTGGTATTTCGTTGTTGTTTCATTTTACTGATCCATGAAACACACAAATCTTTGTATCAATGAACTAACTTTTAACCTCACTGGGATGTAGTTTCAGGACCTTAATACTAAATAGAATACAGGGAGTAGGCTAAATATGTATTGGACCTTCAGTTTGAAGCTGAAGGATAGGCTAAAAAGTCTGGGCTAGGAAGTTCAATTCAAAGTGTGAGTTGTCCAGAGAAAAATGGAAAGCACAGAAAAGAAATTGGAAATAGGAATTGGTCAAAATGGAGGTGTGAAAAGGCAGAAAACCAATTTAGCTGACATTCAGATTTTACTCAGGTCTTTTTCTTTCTATATTTCTTATCCAGAATCTTTTGTGGACATTCTTCATAGAGTGATACCAGATTTAAAATCAAAGATTGCTTCTTTGCAGAGGTGAAAAACACATAAACGCATTTAAGCTTCATTAATTTTCCTCGTCCTATTCTGTCCTGAGGAACAAGTTTGGACTTGAATTAAAAATATTCATAGTCAATGTACAAATAAATGAAAGATCACAGAGAAACCTCACAAAGTGCACAAACTGGGAAACCTGAGAACACTGTGTGCTGAAAAACATAAATGTAATCTTAAGCTATTCCTCTTATTGCTGTTGTAGGACATATGTGATGTTGTCCTGGTCATAATGGGGAAGGATTTTCTAGAGACAGAGGAAAATGAGCTAGCCAGAATCCTTTGAGAGTTAATGGCAATATCATTGATGAAAATACTTCTCACTTCACTTATGGCTATATTCAGTGTAATCTTTTTTTCCAGAATTAATTAGAATGAAATGAATTAAAATTTTAAAAATGTAAATAATGGTCCTTTTGGATTTTTTTTTTCTGAAGGGCATGGAAATCTATAAGTTATCTCTTATTAAGATAAAATTGTCTGAAATGAGTAAATAAAAATCAGTTTTGATTGGTATTATTAAAGCTAAACATTTCATATCATGGTGGGGGCCAAGATGGCCAAAT
This sequence comes from Homo sapiens, assembly GCF_000001405.40. Lineage (NCBI taxonomy): Eukaryota > Metazoa > Chordata > Mammalia > Primates > Hominidae > Homo > Homo sapiens. The sequence goes on from NC_000023.11 coordinate 82,445,320, forward strand.
AGGAACAGCTCTGGTCTGCAGCTCCCAGTGAGACCAGTGCAGAAGGCAGGTAATTTCTGCATTACTGACTGATGTACCCAGTTCATCTCATTGGGACTGGTTAGGCAGTGGGTCCAACCCATGGAGGGTGAGCAGAAGCAGGGTGGGACATCACGTCACACGGCAAGTGCAAGGAGCTGGGGGACCACCCTTCCCCAGCCAAGGGAAGCTGTGAGGGACTGTGCTACCCAGCTGGGTTACTACACTTTTCCCACAGTTTTTGCAATCTATCTGCAGATCAGGAGATTCCCTCTTGTGTCTACACCTCCAGGGCCCTCAGTTTCAAGCACAAAACTGGGCAGCTGTTGGGGCAGACACCAAGCTAGCTGCAGGAGTTTTTTTTTTTTTCTTTCATACCCCAGTGGTGCCTGGAACCCCAGAAAGACAGAACTGTTTATTCCTCTGGCAAGGGGGCTGAAGCCAGAGAGCCAAGAGGTCTCGCCAAGCAGGTCCCACTCCCACGGAGCCCAGCAATCTAAGAACCACTGGCTTGAAATTCTCGCTGCCAGTGTAGCAGTCTGAAGTTGACCTGGGATAATCGAACTCGGTTAGGGGAGGGGCACCATAACTGAGGCTTTAGTAGGTGGTTTTCCCCTGACAGTGCTAAGGAGGCTGGGAGGTCTGGGCTGGGCGCAACAAAGTGACTGTGGCCAGACTGCTTCTCTAGATTCCTCCTCATTGGTCAGGGCATCTCTGAAGGAAAAGTAACAGCCCCAGTCAGGGGCTTATAGACAAAGCCCCCATCTCCCTGGGACAGAGCACCTCGGGGAAGGGGGTGACTGTGGGCCCAGCCACAGCAGATTAAATCATCCCTGTGTGCTGGCTCTAAAGGGAGAAGCTGATTCTGACAAGAAGGATTCTCCCAGCACAGCGTACCAGCTCTGCTAAGGGACAGGCTGCCTCCTCAAGTGGGTCTCTGACCCCTGTGCCTCCTGACTGGGAGCTACCTCCCAACAGGGGTGGACAGGCACCTCATACAGAAGAGGTCTGGCTGGCATCAGGCTGGTGCCCCTGTGGGACGAATCTTCCAGAGAAAGGAGCAGGCAGCAATCTTTGCTGTTCTGCAGCCTCCACTGGTGATACCCAGGTGAACAACGTCTGGATTGGAACTCCAGCAAGCTGCAGCAGACCTGCAGAAGAGGCCTGACTATTAGAAGAAAAGCTAACAAACAGAAAGCAACAAGATCAACGTCAACATAAAGGACTCCCACACAAAAATCTCAACCAAAGGTCATCAGCCTCAAAGAACAAACGTAGATAAATCCACAAAGATGAGGAAAAAACAGAGCAAAAGCGCAGAAAATTTCAAAAACCAGAATACCTCTTCTCCTCCAGATGATTGCAACTTTTCTCCAGCAAGGGCACAAAACTGGACAGAATGAGTTTGACGAATTGACAAAAGTAGGCTTCAGAAGGTGGGTAATAACAAACTCCTCTGAGCTAAAGGAGCATGTTCTAACCCAATGCAAGGAAGCTAAGAACAATGATAAAAGGTATAGGAAACCGCTAACTAGAATAACCAGTTTATAGAGTAACATAAAGGACCTGGTGGAGCTGAAAAACACAGAACAAGAACTTCGTGAAGCATACACAAGTATCAATAGCCGAATCGATCAAGCAGAAGAAAGGATATAAGAGAATGAAGATCAACTTACTGAAATAAAGTGTGAAGACAAGCTTAGAAAAACAAGAATGAAAAGGAATGAACAAAGCCCCAGGAAATACAGGACTATGTGAAAAGACCAAACCTACGATTTATTGGTGTACCTGAAAGAGACAGGGAGAAAGGAACCAAGTTGGAAAACACATTTCACAGTATTATCCAGGAAAACTTCCCCAACCTAGCAAGACAGTCCAACATTCAAATTTGGGAAATACAGAGAACACCACTAAGATACTCTTTGAGAAGAACAACCCCAAAATACATAATCATCAGAGTCTCCAAGGCTGAAAAGAAAGCAAAAAATGTTAAGGGGAGCCAGAGAGAAAGGTCATGTTACCTACAAATGGAAGCACACCAGATTAACAGCAGATCTCTCTGCAGAAACCCTACGAGCCAGAAGAGAGTGGGGGCCAATATTCAACATTCTTAAATAAAAGAATTTTCAACCCAGAATTTCATATCCAGCCAAACTAAGTTTCATAAGCAAAGGAGAAATATAATACTGTCCAGATAAGCAAATGCTGAGGAATTTTGTCACCACCAGGCCTGCCTTATAAGAGCTCCTGAAGGAAGCACTAAATATGGAAAGGAAAAACCATTACCAGCCACTGCAAGAATACCATAATATAAAGACTAATTACACTATGAAGAAACTGCATCAAGTAATGTAGCATCATGACAAGATGATCAAATTCACACATAACAATATTAACCTTAAAAGTAAATGGACTAAATGCCCCAATTAAAAGACACAGACTGGCAAATCAGATAAAGAGTCAAGGCCCATCAATGTGCTGTATTCAGAAGACCCATCTCATGTGTAAAGACACACATAGGCTCAAAATAAAGGGATGGAGAAATATTTACCAAGCAAGTGGAAAGGAAAATAAAGCAGGGGTTGCAATCCTAGTCTCTGATAAAACAAACTTTAAAACAACAAAGATCAAAATAGACAAAGAAGGGCATTATATAATGGTAAAATGATCAATGCAACAAGAACTAACTATCTTAAATACATATGCACCCAAAAGAGGAGCACCCAGATTTATAAAACAAGTTCTTAGAGATCTACAAAGAGACTTATACTCCCACACAATAATAGTGGGAGACTTTAACACCCCACTGTCAATATTAGACAGATTGAGACAGAAAATTAACAAGGATATTTAGGAGATAAACTCAGCTCATTACCAACTGGACCTACCAGACATCTACAGAACTCTCCACACCAAATCAACAGAATATACATTATTCTCAGCGCCACATATCACTTATTCTAAAACCGTCCACATAATTGGAAGTAGAACAATCCTCAGCAAATGCAAAAGAACAGAAATCATAATAAGCAGTCTATCAGACCACAGTGCAATCAAATTAGAACTCAGGATTAAGAAACTCACTCAAAACTGCACAACTACTTGGAAATTAACATGCTCCTGAATGACTACTGCATAAATTACAAAATTAAGGCAGAAATAAAAAAGTTATTTGACACCAATGTGAACAAAGAGACAATGAATCTCTGGGACATAGCTAAAGCTGTGTTAAGAGGGAAATTAATTGCACTAAATGTGCACATCAGAAAGTGGGAAATATCTAAAACTCTATCATCATAATTAAAATAACTAGGGAAGCAGAGCAAACAAATTCAAAAGCTTGCAAAAGACAAGAAATAACTAAGATCAGAGCAAAACTGAAGGAGATAGAGACACGAAAAACCCTTCAAACAATCAATGAATACAAGAGCCGTTTATTTGGAAAAGATTAACAAAATAGATGGACCACTAGCTAGACTAACAAATCCCTATAAAAATCCCTGAATAGACCAATAACAAGTTCTCAAATTGAGGCAGTAATTAATAGCCTACCAACCAAAAAAAAAGCCCAGGATCAGACAAATTCACAGCCAAATTCTACCAGAGGTACAAAAAAGGAACTGGTACCATTCCTTCTGAAACCATTATAAACAATAGAAAAAGAGGGATTCCTCCCTAACTCATTTGATGAGGCCAGCATCATTCTGATATCAAAACCTGGCAGAGACACAACAAAAAAGAAAATTTCAGGCCAATATCCCTGATGAACATTGATGTGAAAATCGATGTGAAAATCCTCAGTAAAAGACTGGCAAACAAAATCCAGCAGCACATCAAAAAGCTTATCCATCATAATCAAGTTGGCTTCATCTCTGGTATGTAAGGCTGGTTCAACATACACAAATCAATACAGGTAATCCATCACATAAACAGAATCAATGACAAAAACACACAATTATCTGAATATATGCAGAAAAGGCCTTCAATAAAATTCAACACCCATTCATGCTAAAAACTCTCAATAAACTAGGTATTGATAGAACATATCTCAAAATAGTAAGAGCTATTTATGACAAACCCATAGCCAATATCACACTGAATGGGCAAACGCTGGAAGAATTCCCTTTAAAAAGTGGCACAAGACAAGGATGACCTTTCTCACCACTCCTATTTAACATAGTATTGGAAGTACTGGCCAGTACTTGGAAATTAACAGGCAAGAGGAAGAAATAAAGTGTATTCACATAGGAAGAGAGGAAGTCAAATTGTCTCTATTTGCAGACCACATAATTGTATATTTAGAAAACCCCATTGTCTCAGCCCAGAAATTCTTTAAGCTGTTAAGCAACTTCAGCAAGTCTCAGGATACAAAATCAATGTGCAAAAATTACAAGCATTCCTATACACCAACAATAGACAAGGAGAGAGCGAAATCAAGAGTGAACTCCCATTGACGATTGCTACAAAGAGAATAAAATACCTAGGAATACCACTTACAAAGGACATGAAACATCTCTTCAAGGAGAACTACAAACAACTGCTCAAGGAAATAAGAAATGACACAAACCAAAGGAAAAAAATTCCATGATCATCGATAGGAAGAATCAGTATTGTGAAAATGGCCCTACTCCCCAAATTAATTTATAGATTCAATGCTATCCCCATAAGGCTACTATTGACTTTCTTTGCAGAATTAGGAAAAAAACTACTTTAATTCATATGAAAGCAAAAAACGATTCCATATAGCCAAAATGATCCTAAGCAAAAAGAACAAAGCTGGAAGCATTATGCTGCCTGACTTCAAACTATACTACAAGGCTACAGTAACCAAAACAGTATGTTACAGGTACCAAAACAGATACATAGACCAATGGAACAGAACAGAAACTTCAGAAATAACACCACACATCTACAACCATCTGATATTTGACAAACCTGCCAAAAACAAGCAATAGGAAAAGATTCCCTATTTCATAAATGGTGCTGGGAAAACTGGCTTACCATATGCAGAAAACAGAAACTGAACCACTTCATTATACCTTATAGAGAAATTAATTCAAGATGGATTAAAGACATAAATGTAAAACCCAAGACCACAAAAACCCTAGAAGAAAACCTAGGCAACACCATTTGGTACATAGCCATGGGCAAAGACTTCATGACTAAAACACCAAAAGCAATTGCAACAAAAGCCAAAATTGTCAAATGGTATCTATTCAAACTAAAGAGCTTCTGCACAGCAAAAGATACAATCATCAGAGTGAACCAGAAACCTACAGAATGGGAAACAATTTTTGCAAGCTACCCATCTGACACAGATCTAATATCCAGAATCCACTAGGAACTTAAACAAATTTACCAGAAAAAAACAAACAACACCATCAAAAATGGGTGAAGGATATGAACAAACACTTCTCAAAAGAAGAAATTTATGCAGTCAACAAACACATGAAAAAAAAGTTCATCATCGCTGGTCATTAAAGAAATGCAAATCAAAACCACAATGAGATACCACCTCACACCAGTTAGAATGGAGATCAGTTAGAATGGAGAGTCAGGAAACAACAGATGCTGGAGACGATGTGGAGAAACAAGAACACTTTTACACCATTGGTGGGAGTGTAAATTAGTTCAACCATTGTGGAAGACAGTGTGGCAATTCCTCAAGGATCTAGAACCAGAAATACCATTTGACCCAGCAATCCCATTACTGGGTATATACCCAAAGGATTACAAATCATTCTACTATAAAGACACATGCACACATATGTTCATTGCAGCACTATTTACAATAGCAAAGACTTGGAAGCAATCCAAATGCCCATCCAAGATAGACGGGATAAAGAAAATGTGGTACATATACAGCATGAAATACTATGCAGACATTAAAAAGAATAAGTTCATGTCCTTTGCAGGGACACGGATGAAGCTGGAAGCCATCATTTTCAGAAAACTAACACAGGAACAGAAAACCAAACACCACATGTTCTCACTCATAAGTGGGAGTTGAGCAATGAGAACACATGGACACAGGGAGAGGAACATAACACATATGGGCCTGTTGGGGCATGGCGGGTAAGGGGAGGGAGAGCATTAGGACAAATACCTAATGCATGTGGGGCTTAAAACCTAGATGATGGGTTGATAGGTGCAGCAAACCACCATGGCACATGTATATCTATGTAACAAACATACACATTCTGTGCATGTATCCCAGAACTTAAAGTAAAATTTTAAAAAAGCTGAACATTTTTAGAGCACAAAATGTCATTCATGAAAATATTTTGAATATTTTTGAAGTTAAATAACTATGGAGACAAGATGGCTGACTACAGGCAGCTAGGAGGAACATCTGCCACCAAGATACTGGGAAACCGGGAAGACTGCTGCACCTCGAGCAGATCTCTGGAAGGAAGCAGTTAACAGTGAACAGAAGGAGGACACAGATGATGGGCTGAAGGAAGAGGAAGTTGGGAACCCTGCACAGGGCTACCATGCTCCGGTACTCATTCCTGGCCCCCAGTGACTCCTGGGAAAGCGGTGAGTTGAGCAGGCAAGGCATGACCTGCTATTCCCACAGGCGTCTGGAATCCTGCCAGCATGAGACCCCATGACTGCTTGGGACACTTAAACTGGCAGGGAGAGCCACTTAGGGAGGTGGCATGGGCAAGACTCCAGCATGTGTGGAACCCAGGGGGTTTGGTGTGAGAATATTTGCAGGGGAGCATGACCAGGGAAGTCCATCACCCAAGACTACCCTTGCTCCCCTGGGAGACTCTACCCTTAGGGGAACTGTTGCACCCAAACAGAGCACAGCAATCTTGCCCATGTAATGGAGACAGTGTAACATGAGCACCCTTCAGTCCACTGGCCTCTCCTGGGTCCCCAGCCTGGCCATTTCTGCTTGCAGTGCAGCCTAGTATAGCCAACCTGGGTGCTTCCTGGGGACCCGCATTATCGTTTCTGCACTACCAGATCATACCTGACCTTTGGGGACATCCAGCAGAGTGGCCTCCACTGACAGGCACCAGCCCACCAGCTCCCTCCCCTCAACACAGCCCTCACTGTGCCACTTTGCCAGCACATACTTGCCCATGACCACTCCCCCATCACTTAGCTTGCGCATGGGCAAACCTTGCCTCACCTTCCCTGTTGGCATGTGGGTTTATGTGCACCCCTCCTAGGCATTGTTGCTAAGATGAGTACTGCCACCATCCCTGCTGCCATGCCACCATGCCACCATTGCCAGTGAAAACACATGCACAGACACCACTGTCCCTGACCCCCACCCTGCACAGCCATCTGGGCTAGCATTAAAGCACACACAGTGATTGCCCACCCAGCGTCTGCTAGCGCCCCTCCTCTGCGCTGACACTATCACTGGTAGCAAGGTACACGTGGACCCCAGAGGCCCCAATTCCTCTCTTCTCCTTTCCCCAAGCACTGCCTCTCCCATTACTGCCAACACTGGCACAGAATCCAGCAGCCCTAAGATCACTAGCACCCTGACAAGCTGAGGAGCATGCAATTCACTGCACTGCTGCTGCTAAAGTGCAAATGATCACAGTTCTCACTGCTGCAACCAATGGAAGAGCTTTGGCTGGCACAACCCTTCAGATTGTTGTGGCCAGTAATCTGGGAAGACCTCAGACCCACCAGTGCAGCAGTTTCCCAACCTCAAGGGGCCAGAAAACAAAGCCAGGAGCCTGATACTAGCCTCCCAGAATTACAGCACTCAGCCCAGGCATTGGCCCCCCAAAAGTCTACCAGAAATGAAGACAGCCAAATAAACCCATCTCATACCACAATCAAATACCCAAGGACATCAAAGAAGATAAAAGAAAAGAAAAAAAATTCCAATGGACAACAACTTCAAAGACTGAAGGAACATTAGACCACACAGATGAGAAAGAACCAGTTCAAGATCTCCAGAAACTCAAAAAGCCAGAGTGTCTTTTTACCTCCAAACAATTGCACTAGTTCTGCAGCAATTGTTCTTACCCAGGCTGAAATCGCTGAAATGACAAACATAGATTTTTGAATATGAATAGGAATGAAGATCATCGACATTCAGGAGAAAGTCAAAACCCAATCCAATGTTTCTAAGAGATATGATGAAATGATACAGGAGAGGAAAGACAAAATGGTCATTTTTATGAAAGGATAAAACTAAGCTGATAGAGCTGAAAAACTCACCTAAGAATTTCAGAATAAAATTGCAAGTATTAACAGAAGAATCAACCAACCTGAGGAAAGAATCTCAGACCTCAAAGAACAGTTCTCCAAAATAACTCAGTCAGACAAAAATAAGGAAAAAAAAATAAAGAAGAATAAATAAAACCTCCAAGAAATATGGGATTATGTAAAGAGACCAAGTCAACTACTTATTGGCGTCTCTGACAGAGAGGGAGAGAGAAAAAGCAACTTGGAAAACATATTTCAGGATATAGCCCATGAAAATTCCCCAACCTTGCTAGAGAGGCCAACCTTCAAATTCAGGCAACACTGAGAACCCCTGAAAAATACTACACAAGAAGACAATGGCCAAGTCACATAGTCATCAGATTTCCCAAGTTCAAAATGAAAGAAAAAGAAAATGTTCAAAGCAGCTAGAGAGAAGTGGCAGGCCACCTACAAAGGGAACCCAATCAGGCTAACAGCAGACCTTTCAGCAGAAACATGTAATGCAAAAGAAAATGAGCCCCTCTATTCAACATTATTTTATTTTATTTTATTTTATTTTATTTTATTTTATTTTATTTTATTTTATTTTTGAGATGGAGTCTCGCTCTGTCGCCCAGGCTGGAGTGCAGTGTCATGATCTCGGCTTACTGCAAGCTCCACCTCCTGGGTTCATGCCATTCTCCTGCCTCAGCCTCCTGAGTAGCTGGGACTACAGTGCCCACCACCACACCCGGCTAATTTTTTTTTTTTTTTTTTTTTTTTTTGTGGAGACAGGGTTTCACTGTGTTAGCCAGGATGGTCTCGAGCTCCTGACCTCGTGATCCACCCACCTCGGCCTCCCAAAGTGCTAGGATTACAGGCGTGAGCCACTGCGCCCGGCCTATTCAACATTATTAAAGAAAACAGCTTCCAATCAGGAAGTTCATATCCAGCCAAAATAAGCTTTAAGTAAAGGAGAAATAATATCCTTTTCAGACCAAAAAAAAAAAAAAAAAAAAAAATTAAACGTATTTGTTACCACCAGACCTGTCTTACAAGAAATCATGAAGGAAGTGCTAAAACTGGAAAGGAAAGACCATTATTGGCCACTACAAAAACACACTTAAGTACATAGACCAGTGGCCCTAGAAAGTAATCATACAAACAAGTCTGCATAATAACCAGCTAACAACATGATGACAGGAACAAATCGGCATATATCAATACTAAACATGAATGTTAAGTGGGCTAAATGCCCTAAGTAAAAGTCACAGGGTGGCAAGTTGGATTAAAGAAGTAAGACCCAACTCTACGCTGTCTTCAGAAAAACCCATCTGATATTCTCATATTTAATGACAGCCATAGGCTCAAAGTAAAAGAATAGAGAAAAATCTACCAAGCAAATGGAAAGCAGAAAAAATCAGGGGTGGCTATTCTAATTTCAGACAAAACAGACTTTAAACCAACAAAAATAAAAAAGACAAAGTAGGGCATCATACAATGGTGAAAGACTCAGCTTAACAAGAATACCTAACTATTCTAAATGTGTACGCACCCAACACAGGCACACTCAGGTGCATAATGCAAGTCTTTAGAGACCAATGAAGAGACTTGGACAACCACACAATAATAGTGAAGGATAGCAACACCTCACTGACTTTATTAGATAGATCATTGAGGCAGAAAATTAACCAAGATATTAATGACCTGAGCACAACATTTGACCAAATGGACCTAATAGACATGTGCAGAAAACTTCACCACAAAACAGCAGAAAATACATTCTTCTCATCTGTACATGGTGCATGCTCTAAAATCAGCAACACAATCAGACATATAGCAATCCTCAGCAAATTAAAAAAGGATGAAATTACACCAACCATGGTATCCAACCACAGTGCAATCAAATTACAAATCAACGCTGAGAATATTGCTCAAAACCACATAATTACATGAAAATTAAACAATTTGCTTCTGAATGACATCTGGGTAAACAACGAAATTAAAGCAGAAATCAAGAAATTCTTTGAAAGTAGCATATGAACAGACACTTCTCAAAAGAAGACATTTATGCAGCCAACAGAAATATGAAAAAATGCTCATTGTCACTGGTCATTAGAGAAATGCAAATCAAAACCACAATGAGATACCATCTCATGCCAGTTAGAATGGTGATCATTAAAAACTCAGGAGAAAACAGATACTGGAGAAGTTATGGAGAAATAGGCATGCTTGTATACTGTTGGTGGGAGTGTAAATTAGTTCAACCATTGTGGAAAACAGTGTGGTGATTCCTCAAGGATCTAGAACAAGAAATACCATTTGACCCAGAAATCTCATTTCTGGGTATATACTCAAAGGATTATAAATAATTCTACTATAAAGACACATGCACACGTATATTAATTGCAACACTATTCACAATAGCAGAGACTTGGAACCAATCCAAATGTCTATCAATAATAGACTGGATAAAGAAAATGTGGCACATATATACCATGGAATACTATGCAGCCATAAAAAAGGATGAGTTCATGTCCTTTTCAGGGACATGGATGAAGCTGGAAACCATCATTCTCAGCAAAATATCACAAGGACAGAAAACCAAACACTGAATGTTCTCACTCATAAGTGGGAGTTGAACAATGAGAACACATGGACACAGGAAGGGGAACATCATACACTGGGACCTGTTGGGGGGTGGAGTGCTAGGGGAGGGATAGCGTTAAGAGAAATACCTAATGTAAATGACAAGTTGATGGGTGCAGCAAACCAACATGGCACATGTATACCTAATGTATATGACAAGTTGATGGGTGCAGCAAACCAACATGGCACATGTATACCTATGTAACAAGCCTGCACGTTGTGCATATGCATCCCAAAACTTAAAGTATAATAATAATTAAAAAAAAATAACCCAAACAACAGACACCAGGACCTACCTGAGGGTGAAGGGTGGGAAGTGGGTGAGGATAGAAAAACTTCCTATCAGGTACTATTCTCATCACCTGGTTGATGAAATAATCTGTATACTAAACCCCTACAATACTCAATTTTCCTATATAACAAACATGCACTTGTACCCCTGAACCTTAAATGAAAGTTAAAAAATAAATAAAATGCATATTCATTAATAAATAAATTTCTGTTTTTAAGCCACCCCAGAAGAGTATAATATTGTATGTAAATAGTTTGGAAAAGTAGCATTAACTTTAACGTAAGAGACAAAATGCACATTTGCTACTTTGTATAGTATTTGATTACTTATCATTTATTTATGATCTTCTATATATACTGAAAACCATTTCATTTATTACCTGCAGAATTTCAATAACATTGCTGTAAACACTGTTTTTGCTTGTGATGCTGTAACACATTACCTGAGACTGAATAATTTATAAAGAACAGAAATTTATCTTTTATAGTTCTGGAGGCTGGCAAGTCCAAGATCAAGATGCTGACAGGTTCATTGTCTGATGAAAGCTGCTATCTGCTTCCAAGGTGAAGCCTTGTTGTTGCATCCTCCAGAGGGGAGGGATACTGTCTTCTCACATAGTAGAAGGCAGATAGGCAAGCTAGCTAAATGCTGCATGAAGATACTTTTCTAAGGGCCTTAATCCCATGCATTGAGGAGCACTCTTAACCCAGTTACCTCACAAAGGCCCCATCTTTAATACCATCACCTTGGCCATTAGGTTTCAACATCTGATTTTGAAAGGGATATAGTCAAGCCATAGTAAATACCAAGTTATTTATTTTCAGAAACTTATTTATGAAGTCATTTTTCCATGCAAACTCTACAAATATTCACTTTCACTTTTAGATTTAGATGAAGTTTTCATAAAAGCAAAAACAATGAAATGGCTGCATGTCTACCCTCCTCACTTTGGTTTCTCTGCCATGATTTGGCTTACTCTGCTTTCTAATCCCTATAGACATACTTAGAGAAACACCTTGTGTATGGGGTAAAATTCTAAAGATATTTGCTAAGTTAATGATTTCATTTAGTTGAAATTACTTTTGAAGTTATTTTATATTCTTTTACATTGCCCTTAGAAACATTGCATTTAATATGATTTTGGTATGTAACCCTAGAGAGTAACAGGTATAACAAGTGAAAATATATTTATAAGATTGGTAATTATGACATACAATAGGGAATACCTATATAAAATATAATGTAACATTTAATAAACATTTAACATTTTAATGAAATAAAAGTGATAATATAAAGTTGAATTCATACATGTTAAATATAGATACAATGGAATTTCAAATGTACTGTTATCTATTAGTTTTCGGCTTCTGGCTACAGATCAAGAGCTGAAAATCTAGCTTAGACTGTAGAACTAGGGAATAATAAAAAGCAGGAAAGGAAGAGTAAAACATCTTTAGGTAATATGAATTAACTTATGGTAATTAACTAAATTTTCCCCTTCTCCACTTTTCTTATTTATCATATTATATAAAATGAAATTTGCTGGGTTTTGGAGTCAAATATTTTAAAAATTATATTCTAGAAAAATAAATTATTTGTGTGCAGTATATATTTTAAAAGTAGTACTTGTTATAATTTAGAGAAATACTCATAAGTGTTTAAATAATATAAATGGGGAAGGAACTCATAATGGATTCACGAATTTCCTTTGTATGTTTTTTACTTTACCCCGACTAGAGTTTCCAATTTTATAATTGTATGTGAGGGAATGTAGTTACTCCATTGTTTCCCCACACATTGCCTAGCATGCTGGTTAGCACTCACTAGGTCTTCGTTGAAGACTTGGTTGGTTTTCTGCCCATCTGCTACTAGCACAAGGCACATTTGTTTATACATTTCTGTATTCAGTAACCAGTCAGTCAATATCTGTCCTATGTGAGCTACCCACAGCAGGACAAAGTCACAGCAAATTGTCAGTGCACACACAGGAGGAGTGAAGCTGACTGTGAATTTCTGGGAGTGCCTGGACAATATGCCAAGAGCTAGTCTGTGAAGAGAAAGTAGAGTCAGTGGATTTAGGGGCAGGTCAGGGTGAAATGCTGAGTCAGCACGGTAGGAGAGATCAAGTATGAGTAGAGGCAATCACAAGAATCAGAAACTGGCACGGTACACCCAGTACAGGAATGAGGGCAAAGTGCAGCCACTCATGACAAGTCACAAGACAAGAAATTAGTTCTTAGATTCCCTTCAAAAGCCTGAGACATTGCGATACAAAGCTCTGGTCTTCCAAACAGAAGTCACTGGAAAAATCTCTTGGAGAGTTAAGCAGTAAGTTTTAGAATATATATGTAATGATCATTTCTTTCCTTGAGCATAGGAACTTCGGTCTTGTTCCTTGATAAACTCCATGAACACAATACACTGTCTGGAACGTAGTAGGTATTTAATAAATATTTATCAAATGAACAAATACAGGAACATCTGCAGTGAGTCTTCTGAGGGCTGATGCTTCAATAAGATGCATGCATTTTCTTTTTTGTATTCATTCAATCAACCAAATAAGCAAAAAATTATGAATCTCATATATGCATAAAACTATGGGGAGTACACATATATACATGCAATATAATTGCTATCCTTAATGAGTTTTCAATCTCATAGAAACTGCAAAACCTTCACATAAAGCTATAATAAATAAGAAAATAGTATGCCACAAGTGAGATGTACACAAGGTAAATTGGAAGTGATGAACTCTGGCCTCAGATTAAGAGAAGACTGTGTGAAGGGGGTGATATTTCAGCTGAGTATTGAAGGACAGGGAAGCTTGATGCTAATTAAGGTGGGAAACAACCTATGTAGAAAGAAGGGTAACCAGAAAAGCACAGAAATAATAAATTGCCAGTTGAGAAATAGCTAGTAATCCAATTTGCTTGGGAATGTGAGATATGTTGGAAAGAGAATAGTAGGAAAAGAAGCAGGAAAGGTAGCATGGGTAATTATTAGGGTGATTCTCATTAACCAGGCTAAGGAGAGTTAAACTCTACTGTGGAATAGTTGGAAGCTTTGGTCAGGGGAAAGGCATAAACCAAAGCTTTTCTTTAGGAAGATGATCTGATAACATATATCCTGGGGTAAATCAGAGAAGGAACTAGTACAAAATAGAATGTCATGCAGGAGACCATTGCCACAGCCAAGAATAAACAAACTTCAAAAGCAGCAAAGATGAGGCAAAGTCATACATATTTTAGTAAAAAAAGTTTTTAAAAATAAATTTTACTGAAGAAAACATGTCCTTTAGTGAAACATAAGGCCCTATTTTTCGTATGGCATATAATTTAAAAATTTCAAAACACTTTGCATTCATAGGTGCAGGATAAATTGGTATGTTGTGTTTCATGAATAACATAATTTTCAATTCAAATAATATATTGGTCTATTTGATTTGAAGGTCATGTACTTTTTTGTCATTTTAAATTTTTTGTTTTTAATTGTTGTGAGTACATGGTAGATGTATATATTTACGGGGTACATGAGATGTTTTGATACAGGCATGCAATGAATAATAAATGAGCCCTCTTGTTTGATGAAACAGGTGTGGAAGTTAAGGAATGAATTAACTTATAATAATTAACTGAATTTTCCCCTTCTACACTTTTCTTATTCATCAGACATATTATAAAAAATGAGATTTGCTGGGATTTGGAGTCAATAATTTTTAAAATTATATTCTAGAAAAATAAATTGATACAGAATTGTCATTGGAATAGGTCATGTCACAAGGAAATATGTCTAGATAACAAAGGCCTTCTGAGCCCTGAACAATAGCAATGATATTGTAAATGCTATTATAGAATTAACAATGTAACCATCTGAAAAGGACTTTCTTGGTGTTTCAAAGGTGGAACGTCAGCTTGGTTTGAAGTTTGTACCGTTTCTATCATAAATAAAGTTTTGGCTTATTGTTGGAAAAAATTAAAATAATCCCTCTTTATGCAGCATGATGACTAAAATTGTTCATCTAATAAAAGTAATTTCTGAATTTTGCTATTTTTCCCATTTTGATGTTGCTTTGGTGGTCCCAATTTGATCGCATATAAACATTAATTCATTTATCAAAACCTGAAACATTCTAAATTTCTGATTTGTCATACAAATATAGATCCGCTTATCCTACCCTGATATAACTGCAAAATGCAAGGTGAATGTATGAGTACATACATTCATGAAACATGAAAAGAGTTCCTGAATTAAAAGCATTATGATCAATCATTAACAAACAGAAGCCGCTATTTGCACTAGAAAAATATGAAGAGGATTTTTTGTTTTAAAATTGCATTCTTCACACTTAAACCAGTTGCAGATGGCATCAAGCAAGCAATTTTTAGAACTGATTTTATGAGATTACTTACCAATGTGAGTACTGAGAAGTTATTTTTGCTGAGTCTTCTACAGTACCTTGAGGACCAAAATTCCTGAATTTAACTTTAAAATGACCTGAATCTGCATTTCATAGGCCAGTAGGTATAGTAAAATTGGAAAGGGATGCATGCAAAGCTTGCAACTATTAAGCATCTCCAATTAAAGTAGGCCTGACATTTCTGTAAGTATTAATGTGAGGGTATAAAAATAAATTATATTTTTAAAGTTCTTTATTTCTCTATTCAGCCCAGCAGAAAATTTTTTCTGTCTCATCTTTTTCTCTTCACATGTAAAATTATCATTTAACGGCCTACAGTTTATTACTGCTGAAGTTTCTTTTTTTAAGTATTTATGTGTTTGAAAAATTTTACTCACATACACACCTACAGTAATTTCTAAAGAGCAAACAAATGAAAAAGAGCATCTCGTTTTCATATATATCCACCCAACAGTTTAGGTAAATCTATTCTTGCTCTCTGATGTGGAGATGTGCAGGGAAAAACAAAATCAAACTAGAGGCAAGAACGAACAAACCAAAATCAGTCCCTGGAAAACTGTTGGCTCATTGTCATCAAAATAATTGGGTGTCAGAAGGAAACACAAGTGTTTATCTCATAAAAGCAACTACGGCAGAATAGCTTTAAATTGCTCAATTCCCTATGCCACAAAGAGAACTGAAATTAAACACATCTTGGGATATTTGCTTTTCGTCTTGCTTTTCTAAGATATTCCCTGTCAAATCTTTATCAAAGGTCATTGGTAATCATATTTAAAAGATAAAAATTCAGATGTCTTTATTCCTCTGGTTTTAATGATCAGAAAAAGACATTTGTATCCACAATAAGGAGAAACCCTTTCTAAATCCAATAATACTCTCTATTTCTTTAGTAATGTACTATATTTATTATATTTTAAATATGTATATCAGTTCTAAATTTAATTTAATAAATACCTGAAAGCCTACTGCATCCTGGGGACTTGCAGAAATAAATGGATATAGGGAGGTGTCTGTGATGTGATTCCTGTCCTCAATGTTTAAAGTATGTAACATATTGAAGAAATGACAAATGAGTCTGACAAATGAGTATAATGTAGCTGATGTGATGGTATTTACTGGAAGATGATTTGGGAAGGTATTTTGAGACCAGATCTTGGATAGTGTTAGTTTCTTGCTTAAAAATTGTGAATAATCACTCTGAAATTTTACTTCCTGAGTGGATATTCTGGCTCCATTATTTATTGATCCTAGATAAATTAATTTTAATGATTTTCAGTTTCTTTATTTATAAAATGGGCAGAATAGTACCCATTTTATCAATTATTTATAAGAATTAAGTAAATTAAGTGTAATGCCTGGCATACAGTTGGGCTTAGCTGTCTGACTTGTTTTTGATCAATGAGATATAGATGGAAGTAAGATTCCTTGTTCCTAGCAAAGGCCTTAAGAGATAGTACATGATCCTGCTGAACTTCTTGCATAATGCTGTGATTTTTATGAGAAGAGTATTTCTGAGGTAGCAACTGCTCCCTCAGCCTGAACTCCAGTATGAAACATATGAAACAAAACTAAACCTGACCAGATGCCTGGAAAGAGCTCAGCTAATGTGCATTATGAAACAAAGCTGCTGCAGCCAACCCACAAACCCGTAAGCAATTTTACATACTTGTTATTTAGTGTTATT